>NC_000004.12:96194108-96497138 GCF_000001405.40 Homo sapiens
CTGGATGCTAGTTATTGGATTTCTGTGTGGAATTGGATCATAAGTAGGCCTCTGTGACAGACCAATCTTAACTCAAGAAGCAGTTTTAGATCTTTTCAAATAAAATTGGGCTAAAATATGTAAACTATATAGTCAGAAAAATGTGAGGACTCATTACTGCCTGCATTAGTGGAGCATTGGAGCTTTGAGGGGCCAATTCTGTAGCCCAAATTCTTTAGGTCCTAGAGGTTATTTGGCACCAACTGGTAGGGGTTTTACAACCAAAGTTAAATATCAGTGATATCATTGGGGATACTTTATGATCCGATTTAGTAGCAAGGATAGGGGAAGAGACTACCCATCACCAATGGCATTATATTAGTATTACTAGAGTTTACTTGAGGAAACACTCAATTAACTCTCTACTAAACTTCATATTAGAATATGAAAAAAATCCTTTCAGTTTGGAAGGATTTAGTTATTGTCCAAAAGTTGTTGAGATGTTGCAACTGATGTTGTCTCTTAATATAGGCAACCAGGTAAAAAGGTAAGAATATGAACAAATGCTTAGCAAGTTGATTGGTGGTGTTCTCATTATCCATTAAGTATTGGAAATTAATGGTTAGTTTCTTCATATATGTCCAGAAATGAAACATAGACATATTCTCCAGCTTAGTCTCAACCTTAATGTTTGCCTGGCTCAAACTCACTCAAAGCAAGTTTCATCAAAAATATTCAGAGCAATTGAGTTATTCCCTGCTATTCCTCTAATGGAGGATATAATGAGTTTAGAGTGAGTAGAAAGGAGGATAAAGGGAAGTAAGGGCACTGATAAGCCAAATTGGGCCCTCTTTTAATATGTCAGAGTTGACTGAATATCAGTCTGATAAACACAGTTGGTTTCATAAATCCTCATGGTAGTTAAAGCATTTTATCACAGCTTATTAGACTGTGATAAAATGAATAGTTCAGTAGATGTCCTCATATATTCTGGAAATTACCAGCACCCATTTATATGGAACCTGTACTACCAGTTTTAATTAACTGAAATCATCTGCTTGGAATTATGCTCTCAATTTAGCTCACATTTCAATCTCCATAAATTCTTTCTCAGCACTTCACTCTGTAGAATGCAAATGGGTCCTGTGCCAATCCCCAGGAATGTCTAATGGCACCAAGCAATGGCACATTGTAGAGCATTCAGCAATCTTACAGCATCGAGGAATGTTATATTAAACTAGCTTTCTTATGTTGATTTAACCTGAAAAACAAACAAAATTTTCCATTACACTGAAGTTGTCACCTCTTGTTGCTAGAACAATATTAATATTTGAATCAAAGATGGTTGACTTGATCATATGTCCTCATAAACTATTATTTTGTGTATTATATTAAGAAAATACAATTTCTCATCTAAGGAATGAGAAATATGTAAAATAATATTTGATTATTTCCCCTAAAATTGTGAGTAAAATTGATAGTATTCTATTTAAAATACTATTGAATGTTTTTCTACAATACAGTATCTGATGCATTTATCTAAAATAAAATGGTATTATTAATGTATCAAATTTTGGTTATACTAACATTCTTTACCATCCCTTTTCTTATTACCCTTCTTTTAAAAATCAGAAATGAGATATTATTAAATCTGAACAACATTTAAGATGTTGATATATGAAAGAATATGAAATAAACATGTAATACTGTATAGACAAATAATGAGTATCATCTGTGAGTTCAAAAAAAAATGGAGTGTAGCTAGCTTTGAGAGGAATAAACTGGGGTGAAGTGAGCCAGGATGCTAGAAGTGTTAAAAAGAAAAACACTGGCCAGGCGCGGTGGCTCACGCCACTAATCCCAACACTTTGGGAGGCCGAGGCGGGCGGATCACGAGGTCAAGAGATCGAGACCATCCTGGCAAACATGGTGAAACCCCGTTCTTTACTAAAAATACAAAAATTAGTTGGGTGTGGTGGCATGCGCCTGTAGTCCCAGCTACTCGGCAAGCTGAGGCAGGAGAATCGCTTGAACCCGGGAGGCGGAGGTTGCAGTGAGCTGAGATACACCACTGCACTCCAGCCTGGGTGACAGAGCGAGACTCCGTCAAAAAAAAAAAAAAAAAGGAAAACACCTTTAAGATTTTACTGAGTAAAGTTTACAACTGATGACGAGTTAATTATTTGCTTCTCTCTTTACTGCATGCTATCTACCAGTTTTGCAATGAAATATGTGCTTATAAGGTGTTGCTGCCTTAATTTTGCAGACAGACTGAAAAAGCCAGAGTTTTATTGGCTTCTATCTGACTTGTCTCTGCATTAATATTATCTAGCTCTTTTGGGACTATCGTCATTCCATGGATAGTTCTCTGCAAACAGTAGGTGCTTAATAAATATTATTGGCTACCTATGTAATTAAATTGGTAGTACATACTCCTTTTTCTTGTGCTTCTTGGCAAACAGACTAAAAGAATACAATGAGCTAATCAGCATCACATGAGTGAGCACAGACAGTGTTTAATTCAGTAAAATGTTCTTTCCAAATAGTTCTGTATTTCCTTGAATTGAGTCTCTTTCCATGAACAGGCAGAGTGAGTAAGATGCTCTCTGGGAATAAAGTGTTCATCCATGTGATGAAAATTAACTCCTTCAGAGCACCAGGGAGTTAATGGTAAATTATTTCTTCTATGGTACCAAAATGAATCAAATTACCAATTAATCATTTCCCAGGGTATGCCAAAGTACAAGCAGCATTGATAGTCTGTGCCTTCTTACTAGCTTGCCATCCTGCAAGACCTCATGAGTCCTTCCCCTCCCGTTTGTTCTTTGGTTTTCTCCATCCAAACCAGATTTTAGACATGTGTGTGAAAGGAAGGGCATGAATATCTCTTGGGTAAATGAATTGACCTGTAATAGCAGTTGTTGCCTACTCAACAACATTTATGTCCACCATGCTGGGAGAGTCCTGATTTTCTTCCAATCTCAAAATCTTTCCCAAGTGACTAAGATAACCTGATGACTTGTAGCCAGCCATGGTGGTCTCCTTCCCCTTCTGACAGATTGGGTTAGGTGTGGCTCGGTGACTCAGTATGATCTACAGAATATGAGGAAAACTCTCTTGTGGTTAGTCCTTGGTAAAATTTCAATCACTGGTAAAGCAGGATAAAGATATAAACAACCTTTCTTCTACCATAGAATGTTTGTATCTCCAACTGCGGTAGCCATGTTGCCACCCAGAGAGGAAACAGCCTTGAAATGAGGCTGAGACTAAGGGCCATAGAATAGAGATATGGAAGAAAATCTGTCCTTGAAGACATTGTTGAGCCCTCTGATGGTGTCAATTCCTACCTCTAAGCCAGCGCTCCCCAACCTTTTTGGCACCAGGGATTGGTTTAGTATAAGACAATTTCTCCATGGATGTGGGTGAGGATATGGTGGGGCACGGGGTGGGGGGGGTTTAGTTACCGGGGATGGCTTTGGGATGAAACTGTCCCACCTCAGATCATCATTCTCATAAGGAGCGTGCAACCTAGATCCCTCACATGTGCAGTTCAAAATAGCATTCGTGCTTCTATGAGAATCTAATGTCCCGCGGATCTGACAGGAGGCGGAGCTCAGGAGGTAATGGTGGCTCACTAGCCGCTCACCTCCTGCCGTGCTGCCGGGTTTCTAAGAGGCCACGCACTGGACTGATACTGGTCTGCAGCCAGGGATTTGAGGACCCCTGCTGTAAGCCACAACTTTAGTAAGAGGAGTAAATGGAAAAATGAGGAAACTTCTGAAATATTTTAGAAATAAAATATTCTGTATTGCTTATACCAGCTGAGATAGTGTTGTCTGCTAATTGTAGGCAAATGAAACACTTCCTCTGGACCTATCTTAAACCACAGGGCATAGATATGTGTTTTGATGGGATCTGGGAAAGACTCTAGAAATGATCGCTTCTGTCAAAACAAGTTCCTAAACACAGACTGGGTCCTGGTCTCAAGATATTCAGCAAAGAAGGCATTTCTTACCATTCTACACTCACCAACACACCATTGCAGAAAAATATTTAAATTATCTCTTTATTGATAATTGTTACATATTCCTGAGTGAAATCAACGTTACTCTTCTTACAAACTAAAATATATTTATTTCTAGAGCTTTGAAAGATTTAGGAGGAAACTCAAGATCCCCATTTCTAGGAGGAAACTTTGTAATAGCAAAGTATAGCCAATATTTTGATTAGGCTTTATCCTAAGAAAAGAACTGCTATGTGCACAGAATCTTCCTTAGAATGGGGGACTTCACAAAGAAACAATGACTTTGTTGCAACTAGTTTAAAATAATGTAAAAACTAGATGACCTACTCCAAGATAAGCACACATATTCATAAATGTAAACTTACCAGGAATAAAGAAGGGGGTCGGAGTTTGGAGGGTATACAAGAAAGGAAAAAAATATAAAGGGGTGCCGCTGTGTAGAAAGCATTTTATATTTCAATAGCACCTTAAAAATAATGTGTACTCTGGATTCTTATTACAAATCAATTTTTTTATATAAGTGGTCCCACAACTAAATATTAAAAAATAGTAATGTCATGATGACATTTCAGATGGAAGAAAAGCACATTACATTGTCCTAAAAATAATAAAACATATTTATCTGAACATCTGGTCATTTCAGCTGAAAAATCTAAAGAGTCTGCACAGTGTCTTCTTACATTAAAAGTCACAGACAAATAGTGGTTGAGAAAAAAAGAATCACTTGTGTGCTTTTACAATGTTAGACTTATTTAGATAATTAATTTATATTAGTTGACACTTATGAATGTTTTTAGTTCTCAGTAATGCCAAGTGAATGGCCCAATAGGTTGCTCACTAGCTAGAATACTGTTAACCTTGACTACAAAATGGAATGACATTCACAGCCTACTTTTATCTATCGGTAAAATAATAATAATAATGTTGTGTTCTTTCCTTAAGACAATCCCATCTTTCATTGCTCCTGGCTGTGTGAAATACTGTTATAGTTGAAAGAGAATTTGCATAATACTTTTGAAAGGCTTAATAGCTATCATAATTTTAATCTATATGAAATGTTTATACTATATAAAAAGCTGAAGTTTTTTATTGTGAGAGAGGATTATTAAGGCATATCATCTAATCAAGAGAATGGTAGTAATAAATGTGTAGGTGACTCTTGAGGGTTTATATTTCACAAATAGGCTTGAGATATTTCTGTACTGAATTGGCCAATGACTCCCTTTGGAAAAGAAGTGTTTAGGAAATGAAGTCCCTTTATAATGGTTTATCTTAAAATTGTTTTGCTGTCCTCAGTGTGATACCTGCTCTAGTCTTAGAGATTCTAACTCACGTTGTATAAAAAGATCTCTGTAGAAAATATTGCTTTCTCTTTTTATCCTGCTTTTGATCTGGCAGAACCCTTTTCTCATCCCAGAGTTCTAGATAACTAGGGTCAAAAGGCAAAGTGGAGATTCTGCTGGAATAATTTGCTTGGCATTATATAAATCCATAATCTGTAACATCACTCTCCCATGATATGTCATATAATGAGTTTGGTAATTTGACACTTATCATGATAATTAATAAAATCATTTTTATGGGAAGAACTAATTATCTCTTTCAATAATTTATGTATTAGATTTTTCTGAGTGTCTTCTCTCCAGATCTAGCTACATCCAAAACAAAATCTTGTATCTGCATCTAGAAGAAACTTCATTAGCTAATTGTGTAAACTTTCTGTTCTTGGCCTTAGTTTCTTTGTATATAAAATGAACATAATATTAATGACACAGAATTATTGCAAGGATTACATGAATTGATGTATATGAAAATGACTAGCATATTATATACATCTCTATTTCTATATTATCTATTTATTGGCTATATTAGTAATGTTTCTTCTAAAATGATGCAATATTCTTAAATATTTGATAAATCAACTTTATTTTCTCATCCAAAATGAGTTCCTTTAATTTTAAGCATCAGTGAAAATGATATCTTTTCCATTGTCTAATTGCCCCAGAACTTTCTATAAAAATTAATGAATAAATCATTACATATCGACATGTACCTATATATGCATTTATTGTTTTAAATAAAATTAATAGTTTGAAAACAACTTTTTAAGAAAGAAATTTAAGCATCTTCAACAGCATTTGCTATTTTTAGCTTTACCCACAAAATGATTCCACAGCTATTGTGCACCGATTCTAGAGTATCAAATTTTGTGAGCAACTGTGTTTGCAGTCAGTATGTAGAAAATGCCAAGTTGGAATTCTATATTATACATGTGAAATTTATCATTTACCAACACATGAAAGTGTGCAGAATCTAATGACAAAGAATATAGAAGGTCTACAAATTATATGAAAAATAAAATGCTTCGGTAGCCCTACGTGCTTGGCACATGATTTGTAAGAAATATTCTTTTTTTGAATTCTGAAATTTTAGTGCAATCGTTACCCAAGTTGATTTGTAAGAAATATTCTTGATTCATGATAAATCAGTGAAGGGACATGTTTCCTATCCAATGCTATAGAAGTTTATACTTGAGTTACCTTAATAGGTTTTTATAATTAGGATTACATAAATTGATGTATGTGAAAGTGACTAGCACATTTTATAAAGGTAGATAGATCTCTATCTCTGTTATCTATCTATTGACTATATTAGTAATGTTTCTGCTAAAGTGATGCAATATTCTTAATTTTTATGGGAGTGGGGATATTTTATACTCCTTTACCTTTGCTTTTTTTTTCTTTTTGCTTTTTCAGATACTTTGTCACATGTTTTATGGAGGTTTTGATTCTTTATAGAGATACTACTTAGGCATTTTTAATACAAAGTTTAGTTAAGACTTTAAATGCATTAACATAAGAAGTTCCAAATCTACTTGCTCTAGGCCTTGTAGATTATTTCTGTTTCTTCTGTTTTTTTTTTTTGTATTTTGCACCATTAACACAAATGTTGCCATAAGAGGATATTATACATAGCATATCACCCATTTTAATGAATGTATTATGTGTTTATTTGAAATGAAGCTCTTCTTATTTCCAGTCCTATGTTATGATGCCACTGTGAAGCAACAGCAGTATTTCACTTGAGATAAGCCTTCACTTCAAAGAGAGTTGAAGTGATTTCTGAAAACATTACTTGTTGGGTCATGGGAGACACGGTACTGTGTAAATAAAATAAAATTACATAACATGTAATAACTTCAGGAGATAAGCTAATTTTATTGTAATGTATAGAATAATGTCTGCATATAAAATATAGAATCTATTCATTCATTTGGGCCTCAAAAATCCTTCATGTTTTATAAAAATAACTCATTTGCTATATACTGGACAATCATAGTATATAAATATGATTTAAAAGTTAATTTCAAGGACTTACCAGTCTTGCTAGCATTGTTCTCATTGGCCAGTACAGTGCCTGGAACATAGTATCATTTTATTAACATTTTTGAATGAATGTATAACTAAACTATCACATCATTATTCAGGGATATACATTTAGGACAAAAGGGAATGTTTTCAGATTGAAGTTGCCTACATGAACATGTCTATTTGCCAAATGAATCTGCTAATTGTCTAAACAGAGACAATTAGGGCATGCCATGCTTTTTCCCTAATAGAATCTTCCTGCATTCACCTAGAAAGAAGCTCTCAAACTTTAGTCTGTGTGAAAGTTACTTGGATGTCTATTGAATCACATACTTTTAACTGTAAATGGTTTTAGTAAAAACAAAATGAATACCTGTTTATCCATGCCCGGCTTAAGGGCAGAACATGACATCCAGGGCCCTCTGTATTCATCCCTGTGGTATCATGCTCTCTCCCTACCAGATGTGACCACTTTCTAGAGCTCTGTTTCGGTCATCCCACAGATTTTCCTTTTGGTGTATCTAACATGAATGTATATAATAGATAATTAATATTTATTGGAATAAGTAAACAAGTGTGTATGTATCCATTAATGCTTAGACTTCCTGGTTTTGACCTCTATACAAATAGAAGGGATTAATTTTAAACATAGATTTCAGGACCCACCCCCATATATTCTGCTTAGTTAGGTGTGGGATGATGCTCAGGAATCTGCATTCTTCAGGGGATTCCGAAGTAGGTGGGCTCTGGGCCACACTAACAAATACCACATCAATTAATCTGTGTATTTATTTGTAGGCATAGAGTTAGAAAGAGATAATGATAGGAAAGCGGACATGGATCATTGCAGACAGGGACATCAGTCTTTTATCTTGTTTAACAAAGACTGCCAGTTTGGAAGACTTTGGTTTACAGTGGTTAAAATACAGGCTACATGCCATACTGCCTTGGTTAAAGTTCAGGCTATGGCACATATTGGCTCTAAAACCTTGGACAAATTATTTGACCTACATAGGTCTCAGGGGTGTGTGTGTGTGTGTGTGTGTTTTAGCTGAATGAATATAATCCCAGAATCTACCTTACAAGGATGTCATAGGATTTGTTTATATATGTGAAGTGTTTAGAAAATTCTCTAGTACATGGTAAGCACTGAGTTATATTATCACTACTTTCTCAGATGCTGCTTTGCTAATTGCTTCTAAATACTTTATTTGTGTAGTTTGACCTTTTTAAAAATGTATTTTTCTATTACTATTGTAGGTAGCTTAATTTTCATTTTATAAGTATAGTACTTTTACCTAATGGCTATAAATTGACATTTTCACATGTTACTTTTAATGACAATAGGAATGTCAGTGCAAAAGGGACATTCTTAATGCTCTTTCACACTCTAAACATGCCAGGACTGGAACAGAATTTGCTATTAAGACCCAAACCTACTCTAACATCTCGCTGACTTTAATATGCCTGCCCTGTTTCCTTTACTCTTTTCTATTTCATGAAAAGGAAAAAAAAAAAAGCAGCCACAATGACAACCTCTAAGAATGAATTCACATATTTGTTACCTTTATAGGTTCTTGGTGATTCTATGTGAGAGCAGTTGGAAATTAAAAACCATGGTCTCCAATATATGGTTTGCCCCCACTCACGCTTTTCACATGGACCATGCTGTGAGCTCTGAAGGCAGCCAATTACCAGCTTTAATAAACTGGTGGACACATTCAAATTTTTTCATTAAAACCCATGGAAAGTACACAATAAATGATTGGAAATTGCCTTTTAAACTAAAGTTTCCACCTTAATTCTATAGTTACAATGATTTAATAAATATCCATATCAAGACACTATGCTGGGTTTTGGGTATTTAATAGTGATGAAAACAGATCATGGTGCTCCACTCATAGATCTTACAATCTGTTGTTCAGGAAGTGAGTTGGCAGACAAACATAAAAAAATACATTTTTACCAGTTGTCAAATTCTTCTTTGTAATAAAAGAATTTCAGAATTTTATTATGTGGTCTGACCAAGGAACCTTATGCGTTTTTTCTTTTCTTTTCTTTTCTTTTTTTTTTTTTGAGACGGAGTCTCGCTCTGTCGCCCAGGCTGGAGTGCAGTGGCGCGATCTGGGCTCACTGCAAGCTCCGCCTCCCGGGTTCCCGCCATTCTCCTGCCTCAGCCTCCCGAGTAGCTGGGACTACAGGCGCCTGCCACTACGCCCAGCTAATTTTATTGTATTTTTAGTAGAGACAGGGTTTTCACCGTGTTAGCCAGGATGGTCTTGATCTCCTGACCTCGTGATCTGCCCACCTCGGCCTCCCAAAGTGCTGGGATTACAGGCGTGAGCCACCGCGCCCGGCCCATTTTTTTCTTTTTTTAACAGGATTTTTCAGGTATTATACAGTTGTAACATGCAATACCAGTAACTGTGGACTCAATTAAGCTTAACTCAGAATAGCGAATATAACCGTTTTCTCCAGTTCTGTTTTCTCAAACAAACCAGCTCACACTGAAAATTTCAGAATCTGGAAGGATGAGGCTAACTCAACATCCTTGCTAAGTTCCAGTTAAAGCTTTAATAGTATTTGGTCATCAGAGATTTTTATTTTAGTATAGTTCATTTGTACTGGAATATAGGAGAGAATTAGTATTAATAGAATGTAGGGTAAAACGTAGTGGCAGTAGAAATGAGGTTGTAACGTTTGGTTAGAAGCAAATGTCAGGGAGGGAGAAATCAATGAATTTCAGACCAACCAAGGAATATGGATTTTGATAATCTTTGAAGGTTTTTAAAGAAAACAGCAATATTTGTCAGGATTGAACTTAAGGGAGGTATAGCTGCAGTGAACTATAGAATGAATGGTCTCCTCAAATATACTATTTCATCTTAAAAAAGCAGTTAAGAACAACCATGCACTTTAAGACTAGTCTGTTTTGATCTATCATTGCCCTCTTCCCATTCCCCATTGTAAGAATCAATGTCTGGGCCAAGTCATGTGATTCCCACATAAATGAAAATCTTATTTATTCTTTAAATCAGTATATATCAGTATAATTATAGACTCAGAATGGGTAGACAACATCTATTGGTGGATGTGTTCATTAACTTATTCAACACCTGCTTATTTATTGAGTTTTTACTCTGTATAGTGTCACCATTCTAGACCCTGGTATGTAGAAGAAATTAAAACATGAAAATCTCTGCCCTTAAGGAACAAATATTCTCATGGGGAAAGAAAAGCCAATGGATAAAATATATGTGTGAATTACACACTGTATTAAAGATGATAATTAGTGTTATTTGGAAATATGAGATGGGGAAGCTCAATATGTAATGTTAGAGTAGTAGTGATGGGAAGCTACTATTTTAAAAAGGGGAGAGGATAGATAAAAAGACCTTGCTGAGATCAAATTATCATAGTAAATGGGATAAAATGGGGATATATTCCCCCCCATACATACCCACATGTACCTGAATATACTCGTTTAACATTTTAAAATAATTTGACAGAAGCTACATACCTATCGTCTTGCCATTAGAAATAAGCAAATCAGACATTTCCTTCTTTATAAATGACATCATTACACTATCAGAAGTCAGAATGTTTCTTAAGCAGCCAAACAAGTTGGACGTAACTCCCAGAGACTATCAACTCTGGAGCAGCTAGAATAAAACTAAATTTGCATTTGGTGTAGCATAACTGTACATGAGCCACGGTAAATAATTTCATCAAGAGTCTTTCAGGAGTACATTTTGTAGCTCATGGGCTCAAAACAAGGCAGTGAAACTCACAGTCATACATTCTAGAGAAGCCAATTGAGATTTACCTCTTCCAAAAATGATCTAAGCCAGAGTCTTCCCAACTGTATGGTGCAAATCTCTGTGGGAGTAAATCTTGGTACGTAGATAAATAGCCTGCCTGTTCTCTTGTTCATGGCACATTTCCCTAATAAGTCTGACTGGGTTTTTTTTGTTTGTTTGTTTTGCCACAGAATTCTGAAACTGCCTCAAAATTCTTCTTAAGTTGGCCTCCTGGGGAGTCAATACCAGTCTAGCTGATATGGCTTTTAAGATAAAAATAGAGAAAAGTCTTCAGCTGATGGAAATTAAAAGCTCTTTTTAAAAATTGGTTCTACCCATAGGTCCCCTACTGTTCACCTCCACGTGGACAGGGGATGATCCTCCAAGTGGGCAAAAATATAATTCAACTCCTTAATTTCCGTAACAGACTGTAACCTTGCTGCCAGACCATCTGGTAGATTTTCAGTCATCAACATAGAATATGTATGTGCCGGGCACTTGTCTGAGAGCTCAATCTTGAAATGACTATTTTATTTAGCTCCAGGCAAAATATGGTTGAGGCAAGTGCTTCTCATAAATATCCACCTAAAAAAACATGGTACCAGTTCATTTCTGTAGGTAGGTTCAAGTTAGAGCACTAGAAAACAATACACATGGGCTTACTTCTCCTTAGCAGTGATTTGTAGCAGTTGATTCTCTCATCAGCTTTCCAATTTTACCAATATAAGCAGTAGCTGAAGGACAGCACTTTCTGCATTTTCTGCAGATATAGAGACATTGTTATTCAGTGTCTTTTTCATGTGATAAATTATGTCTATGTTTAAAACCAGTAAATGTTTATTTTCCCTGAAAGCAAATTATTTTCCTTTCAGATGACAAGAAGCTATATTGTTTCAGTTTGCTTCTTACCTTTAAATTTAATTTTCAGTTTCAGTAAAAATCTCCATATTTTGTAATTTAGCTCTCATCTTTCCTGCTGGCTATTGTCTATACTGATTTTGATCCTTTAGAAATACTGTGTGAAGAACATTAGTTTAATTCATACATCTCCAGTATATATAGAAGTAGGCATATGTATATTAGAAATTAGTAAATCAATACAGACTTGACTTTGTGGATACCCCTAATGGATACCACGGTGCTCAACCTCCATTCTCTTCTCCAGGCTACTCTAGCCATATCCAGCTGTTAACAATATAGGCTGCTGCCAGCTCTCAGCTCCATCTCTCATTGAGGATTGCCCTCAGTATCAGGAAACTGCCTCACCTATGTCCATGTCCTTCCTAAGGAGGACTCATGGTCAGTCACGAGCTGCTGCAAGGATGTAAAGGCTCCACCATTCATTTCAATTAGGAATGAATGGAAGTTCTAAAGGGCCATTCTAGCACCAGATCTCCCTGCAATCAAATCTCACTTGCAATCACATTGTAGATAAGCTTTTCCCTCTGCTTAGTCTTGCCCTTCTGGCTTCGTGAAGGTCAACCTTCCAAGAGCACCTTCTGCACAAAAGTCCCCATTTCAGAGTCTGTTTTCAGGAAACCTGATTTATGTCAGCATCTCAGTTTCTTTTTTTTTTGTTTAGATAGGAACAGCATTTTCTAGACAATAACAAGTCTAAACACAATGTTGATGAATTAATTCAGATAGTGAATGATATTACTTGTATTACTTTTTCTAATACAGCATATTGTTTTACCAAATAGTACTGTGGACTCATTAAATTAGTTTAAGCTACCTATTATGTATCCTTTCAATTACTTTTTCAAAGCAGTTTTTCAGAGTTTGGATAGGATGTAAGCAGATATATTAGACATCATTGTTTTCATTTTGTTTACTTTGGTTAGGCCTTCAAAGCTAGTCTACAAATCTCTATGACTGGCTGCTCAGTATAATTAAAGAAAAGAAGATTTTCTGAACATACATAAAATTCTTATGTAAGTAAATAAAATGTATATGTCATAGCAATATATTTATCTTTGAAGCAGAAAAACTGATTGTAAATTTAAGAAATTACACTTCTGCTTATATTACTAGTCCCAAAGCAATCTTTCCATTGACACCTTAATCATTAGTTAATGTTTTCAACTGATGAGTGAAGTTATTCCTCCTAAATGGACTTTGCATGTTTTAGTGAAGTGTAGCATTAAGCAAATGTATCTAAAATTAAAAAAAGTTTCTATAGCCCATCATAAGTTATGCTATTCCTACCATTCGCTTTGAGAAAATTTTAAGAAGAATGTAGTTTTAAGTCTTTAAATTTAAAGATGTTATATATGTACATATTTTTAAAATTATAAATATCAGACTGGGTGCAGTGGCTCACATCCCTAACCCCAGCACTTTGGAAGGCTTAGAGGAAAGGATCAGTTGAGGCCAGGAGTTTGAGACCAGCCTGTGGAACATAATGAGACCCCCACCTCCACAAAAAAATAAAGAAATTAGCCAGGTACCGTGGCACACACTTGTGGTCTCAGCTACTCAGGAGGCAAAGGCGGGAGGATCACTTGAGCCCAGGAGTTTGAGGCAGTGGTGAACTATGATGGTGCCACTGCACTCCAGCCTGGGTGACAAAGCAAGATCCTGTCAAAAAAAGAAAAAAAGATATTCGATAAGAGTTTACTTGTCAACCTTAAAAGTTTCCCTTTAAACAGTAACAACATTGTTGATAAATATTTACCAGTTGGGCAAAATTGGTAAAATCCTACTTACATAATTTCATCTGAGAAATAATCATTAAAATAAATTTAAATGTGAAAGACATTCTTTAATTATTACATTAAATATTTATCTTTATTATTTATCCATATATGTCAGGTTGTTAACAACTTCAATATGCTTCAGAATATTATGTAATATATTTAAACAATTATATTATTTTTCCTGTTTTTATTAGACAATTAATTTATATCCCTTATAGACACAATAGCAAATGAAGATAACACTTTTCTAATGAACTATCCTAAAATGTAATTATTTTACGCATAATTACTAACATTTTATGATGAAATATTTTACATGTACAGAAAGATATATGTGAAGAAAAACTGGTAACATTTTGCTACAGTAGTTCAGATTTTTTAAATAATAAAACAAATAATTAAAGCTTTTGTGTACTCTTTCCTATTTCTAGTCTCCTTTTTCCAGTGTTAATCATAATTCTAAAGATGATGGCTATCTTTTTGTCATGTTTACTACATAGGTACATATCCATATGTAGTTATTGTTTTACATATTTTTAAAATTTACATAAGTACTTTATATTGTAGGTATTATTATGCACCTGGCTTTTAGCTTTTTATTCTGTTTTTGAATTTTAGTCTATTTTTGTACTTTTGATATCTACTACATTTAATTTCACTACAATTATGTACCATTGTAGAAATATGCCACCATTTATTTAAGTGTTCTCCTAGGAAAATTTAGCTTGTTTCAGTGTAGTTATTACTGTTGTTGTGTGTGTGTTTAACAAAAAATGCTGTAGGTCATTCATTTATATCATATACACATACCAAACTTCTTGGCGTCTGGGCGCAGTGGCTCATGCCTGTAATCCCAGCACTTTGGGAGGCCGAGGTGGGCGTATCACCTGAGTTCGGGAGTTTGAGACCAGCCTGACCAACATGGAGAAACCCCGTCTCTACTAAAAATACAAAATTAGCTGGGCGTGGTGGCACATGCCTGTAATCCCAGCTACTGGGGAGGCTGAGGCAGGAGAATCACTTGAACCTGGGAAGTGGAGGTTGCTGTGAGCCAAGATTGCGCCATTGCACTCCAGCCTGGGCAACGAGAGCGAAACTCTGTCTCAAAAAAAAAACAAAAAACTTCTTCTTGGCTATATTGGGCACATACCCAAAAGGGTAATTGTGGAAGATAGACTATGTCAACTTATTAGATAATGGAAATTATTAATGAGGTTAGTTAAAATATTTATACACTTAAATTCAGATTATAAAACATTTATTTCTTTTAGAATCCCAAGCATGTACATTTCATAGTCCTGTTTCTGATTTTTAAAGAATTTTTGTCTTCTGTCAATTTATCTTTCAATTATTATCATTATTGACTGTCTTTCTTAGCATGTATTTTCCTGATTTTTTAAAATTTATTTTCATTTATTTACTAATTCTGATGAGGAAACTTTCTTTCTTTCTCTCTTCTATCTCTATTTCTTCTGTCCTTCTCCTTCCCCATCTCCCCCATCTTTCATTCTTGTATTCTCTATAGATTCAGTCCTGTCTGTCAGCTCTGTAGTTACCTCCACTTCCACCTTTAAGGATTTTCTGTCAAGAATCAGTTTTTATATTTCTATTCAGAGATGGTTATCAGAGAATGCAGCCACCTAGTAAAAGAATTAGCTCAATTCTTCTCTCAAGTTTATTGTTTCTGTCTTCCTGTCTCCCTCTACGTGCAGCTTCAATGAACCTGAAACCCCAGGCAGCTGTTGGAAGATGGTTTTCTCTTTTTTACTTCCATAATCCTTTTATAAATGGAAGACCCTCACTCAGATCCTGGGTTCAAGCATGAAGCCTTGCTTTGATGATCCTATGGAGCATGGGGCACTTTTATTCCCTTTATCTCGACATGAACCAAAACCCAGTCAGCCCACAGCTTCAGGCTTGCTCCATATTCGGCATTTGTTTGGGAACATGAAAATATTCCTCTTCTTTTTGAGTTCAGTTATATCTTTATACATTTCTATTTTTATAGTTTACCTATCAATGCTTTCCAGTTTATATGTCATAAATACATACTTGTTTCAATATACATACAAAATACATACAATATACATACAATGTTTTAGTGACTCTTAATAGGCCCTCATATGGATGCACTATCACATATTTAAATAACTCATTATAGATCAATATTTATTTCCACATTTTTGTTACCATAAAAACACTACAATGAAGATATTCCAAAACGTATCTTTCACACACTTGTTCAATTATTGTCTTATGGTAAATTCCTAGAGGTAGAATTAGTGGGTTAAAGATGTATATCTTTGAGATTAGAAAATAAAATTTAGAAAACCTTTTTAGAAAAATAATTTATTTTTCAACTAATTTTATCTGAAAAATAAAATTTATAAAAACTAATTTTTATATAATGGAACTACTATTTGGAATTAAATCACAGAGAAGATTAAACTGATGATGTAACAATAAATTAATCAATAGGTAATAAGTGTTTATTCAGCACTGCATCACACATTATACATAAGACAATTGTTTTGAAACTTTTTATTGTCCTACAAGTTCTTTGTATATTTAAGAATTATTGAGGACACCAAAGTGCTGTTTTTTGTGTGGATTATACTTGTTAAAATTTACCATATTAGACATGAAAGCTAAGAAGCTTTAAATTATTTATACATTATTTCATTTAAATATAACATTAATAATTTTATAGTATAATAAATAATTTTTAAAAAATAAAATCTTCTTTTCCAAAACAAAAAAACAATTAAGAGTGGCATTACTTTACCATTATCCAAACCTCTTTAAAGTCTAACTTAATGGAGGATGTCTGGATTCTCATAACTGCTTCTGCATTCAATTTGTTGTGAAATGTTTTGTTTTTTGCTTGAAGCATATAAAGAAATCAAATCTCTCATATGTATGTACTTGAAAAGGAAAATATGTGTATAGATGTTTCATATTACTTGAAGGTAGTCTTCTTTAATACCATACCAAACTCAACACAGGGTAGTTTCTTCAATCTAAGTTACAATGTAATATCTGCAACCATATGAAAGAAATAATTTGTCATATTTTGTTTTGTAAAATCCATTGGTTTATCTTCACTTTGAACATATTTGGAATATCATGTATTGGTCATTTAGAAGATTACTTCTCGGGGTTATGCAAATCTGTCTAATATTTGGGTAGTATTCCATTATGTGATAACAACAGTATTAACAATAACAAATCATATTTGTTAGTACCACACCAAAGCTGTCAAATTCATGCGGGCTGATACAATTGTTCCAAAATTATAATTTTTACTCAAAATTTCAAAGTTTATCATTGGCAAAAAGTACTTACTATTGTTTGTTTTCCTTAACGTGACAGACTTACTTTCAAGAATATTTCTGTCAGATATCCAAATCTGAATAGCCATAGTTTATCAGTTATTTCCAACAAAAATGGTATTCCATGAAAGGGTGGCCAGTTTAGTTTGCAACATACACAATTGCACAGTTGCTTTTCCTTGAGACAAGATAGTATTCTATGGGCTGAGATATGGAGAGAGTTTTGAAGGGCAGGAAAAGTTTTCTTCTTGGGGAGATCAGTTGGAAAGCTGTTGCTATGACTTACACAGGAAACGATGATAGCCTAGAGTGGGATAGGACAACAACTTTGAGAGATATTTAGGAGTTGAATTTGTCAGGACCTAGGTGATTGAATGCAGGAATGAGGAAGACAGCATGTCAAAGATGTTTCTCTCCTTTTTGGCTTTGACTTTTTGGCTGCAGTGTTTGAAATCAGAAGCACTGGAGCTGGAGCAGATTTGCGGGGGGTGGAGGCAGAGGAGAGGGCATAGGTTTATTTTTTGTAAGGTGAATTTGGTTTGCTTGTAAGAGATCTTGGGGAAATATGGTGTAAACTTGTATAAAGCACACAGAGAAGAGGTCAGATCTTTATCTGCAGATCTGTGAAATGCAAATCCCTAGAGTGAATGAGATCAACAGAGTAATGGTGTGGAGTAGGAAGAGAAGAGGGACTAGGAGAAAAAGTAAGGAACATGGGATTTAAACATAGGAGAAAAGCCTGTGGAGACTGTGAAAGAGGGGTCACAGAGTGATGGAAAGGACCCCACTGGAATGGTCAGTGTTGTCCAGTTTCCCTGCAGTCAGATAAGGACTGGACAGTGAACACTTGCTTTATCATCAGGGAAAACAAAAGTAACCCTGGCCAGAATAGATTCCAGTGGAATTCTGGGTAGAAGCCAGATGAGGAATAAGAAATTCTTAGTGAGAGCCTTCAAATCACCTAGAAAATGGTGGGCCTGTCCTTGAAGGTTTGCATCTGCCACTGCAACATGGTGAAAACCACGCAGTGTGAGCCAAATCAGTCTATGTAATGCATGTCAAGTCACTCAGGAGTGAGTCCCTAAGGCACACGCTGGCCAGGTTTCTCACTATGGGTTGTTTCTTTCTGAGGAAGACTCACTGGCATTTCTCAATGCCAGTGAGGAAAGGCATTTCACTGGAAGCTGGCAGAATATTAAATTACTATATGTTGCAAAATGGGGATGTTTTCATTTACATAAAGAGACAGAAACCTCAGAAAATCCTAATGCTGAACAGATCCATGAAAATAGTGACGGTAGACAACTCTAAGACCATTAGGGAACTCGTGTTTACCATTTGCAGCAGAATAGAAATAATAAACTGTAAAGATTACTCTTAATCCTATTACCTATTGAAGAAAAGAAAGAGGAAGGGTAAATACACCCAAAACAAAAACAAAAACCAAATAAACAGGACACTGTTATGATATGAGAAGGAAATGGAGAAGCTGAAGGCCAAACTTCACATAGAGGATGACCAAAATTAGCTGGATTACAGCTATACACTCAGAAAACAAGTGGTCGATGAAAATGAAACATTGCAGCTTAGATGGAAACTTCCTTACTCTGATCACTTTGTAGATTCCAGGGACCTTGTGCAGCTGCATTTGCTGTATATTCAGGCTCAGGGAGGACATCTGAATGGCTCCCACCCTTTAGCCTTTGAGAAAATTTGTGAGTTTGGTGGATTTCAAGCCCAGCTGTAACTTGGACCTCATTGGACATAAAAACAAACCTGGATTCTTAGAGTAAATGATCTTTTATTTTTCTTTCTCTTCCCCTCTCTTCTCCTCCCTTCTCTTATCCTTTCTTTTCTTTTTTCACCTGTTTATATTTGATCTAGTCATGCAAAATACGTATGCTAGCTTCAATCAGTTCTGAGAATCTTAGCTTTTATTCAGTTGACTATGTGACCAAATTTGTGGACCTGGGGGAAAGCAAGTTGCTAAGAAATTCAATGCAGGAATGACTGTAGTTTATTCATTCCAAGTTCAGGCAGTGTGTTATTTCCTTTATGCCAGGGAGCCTGTAGCACCCCTCCAAAATATGATCTAGCCTGTCCTAGAATACTTCTGGAGTTGAGAACCTCACTTTCTTCAACCTCTGAAAACCAATGCCCATGAGAACATTCCTTCCTTATACCGAACCATATTTTGACTTCTTTAATTTCTTTTTATGACCCCTGTATAAGAACGAGTATAAATGAGAGAACTTCACATCCTTTATTAAAATCTTATAACTTTTTTACTGCATTAAAAGTGTGATGTATACGCTAAACACTTGGTTCCCTCAAAAAAAAGGACAGTACTCAAGATTGTAGATTTAATATAATTAGTAATTTAATAAACTTAATACTTTTTACTATTTTAACAACCTTAAGTGAAAGTGGAATTCTTTTCCCCATGAGTGCATGTCAGTAGAAAATACAATGGTTTAAACTAACATAGTTCAGTGCCATTCCCTTGATTTAAGCTAAGGAACCACCAGTTCTATCCTCTATTGCTTTTTGTCATTTGTGCAAATATCATCATGATGAAAAAGTCACACAACATCTTAGCACTATTATGAGAACAGCTTTGACCTTGCAAACACTTGAACATGTCTCAGAAATCCTCAAGAATCTGTGAACCACCCTTGGAGAATGATACCTATCGGAAAAGGGTATATGAAATAAACAGGGAAAATAACCACAGCTATTACATGGACATCCCCAAAGCAACTTGTTCCATCCCACCTTTTCTTAAAGATTAATCTACACTATCTTCTTAATTTACCTACCTCCTCTAGGTAAATATTTTTCTTGCACACTGAAATGATTTTATAATTTCTCAGAAATGGTCGTTTGATATTCAATATCAAATCTCTGATAAATACCTGTAATTTTTTATACAACTTCATATTTAGTTCACCCATATGTGTGCACACTCCTTTGTCTACTTTGACTGAAGATGCAGCTTTTGTGTTTGGCATAAGAACAGTCTGTACCTTCACTAAGAGGAAACCTAACTCTATCTTGATGTATGACAACTTAGTAATTTGTTTTTTGAAAGTTGCACTCAGCCAACACTTCATATATGGCACCAATTATTTAAGATGTGTTGAGTCAGATTTACTCAGTGTTTGTATAATAATTAAGCAGCTTCTGAAAATGGTGCTTATATTTTGAGTTACAATTTTAATATAACTTCCAAAGATAACTAATTTAGGGTTGACTACTGGGAGAATCTGACTCCATTTATTACTTAATTGGTGAAAGGCGGTTATGAGAAACACAATGGTGTGAGAATGAAGCAGTGGTGTCATAAGGAAACAATAAAAACTGTAATAGACAGGTAATTTACCTATGTTGGAATGAAATGACCAGTGAAAATTAGATCCGTGAGATTCCTTACTACCCCCAAAGGTCTGTGCATGGTAGAAAATCTCCAGAGAGTTCACAAACCCCATTTTTCCATATTATTTTCTTCCCTGTTTTGCTGTCATTTCTACGAAGCTTAAGCAAATCTTCTATTTCAGCAATTGTGACAGGCCACTCTGGCGGCAAACGCCAGAATTTTTTCCTATTTTATTTGATGTTAAAAAATAATTTATTGGAAACGTGTTTGCTAATATAGTAAAAGGTAAATCTGTTATGATACTTATAAGATGCATATTCTTTTGTCAGAATTCAATTGATTTAAAATTATATTTCTAATATATAACACAAGTTTAGAAACAATTTTATAAATAATCATCTGATCTGCATCTATTATTGAAACCTATTTTTGTATCATTCTACACTTATTTTTTTCAACAATAATTGCTAGAACACACATTTTTAAAAACGACTGACAAAACAAATAAGCTCTTGATGGAACAAGTTGTCATTTCAACTATTGACAGTATTTCATGATTCTGGCATTTTGAAGCATCCCACGATGATTAAGCTAGTCATTATCTTCATACTATAAATAAAGAAACAGAATGCAGTTTAATAGGCATTAATTGACTATTTTCCTTGCCAAAGATACAGTACCAAGAACCGAGAGAATATAACGTCTGGAACAAAAGAGCTCTGAATTCTGTTAGGGAGAGAATTGTATAAAGTGAATTTTAATGCCAGATAGTCCATGATAAATACTATAATATAGATTTAAGGATGTTTAATAGGAGGTCAGATGAATTATCTTTGACTGGAAAGAGCAGCTGACATCTTCATGTAAATGCTGCACCTTAAATAAAGATTGCATTTTGAACAAATTGATAATGGTGAGGTAAACATTCCAAGCAGAAGACAAATTCACATAGTCGCCGAAACCTGGTCAAAAGGGTCGTATTCTGAAAAGACACAGTAGTCTGGGATAGCAAGGCATGTGGTACAAAAAAGCATTGAAGAATGTTGGAAGAAAGGATTCAGAATAGTTATGAAGGCGGGGCATATTGAAGTGAATTCTGGAAATTGTCTCTGTTCCTCTGTGACTTTATGCTGGATTTTCAATTGCAGTTAAGTTATGCTCTCCCTATATATCCAAAAAAGATTCTGGAGGAAGGCTTAATTGGTCCATGTATATAATTTTTTTTTCCATTGGAAAAGAGTGGAGTAGCTAAAAGTGAGAATATGGCTGAGTATTTTTTGTTTGTTCAACAAATATTGATTATTTAATGTGAGCCAGACTCTGAGCTGAGTGCTAAGGATGCAATGGTGAAGAAACTAGAAATGATTCCTGTCCATGTGGAGCATGTATTTCATTTGGGGAAATAAACATTAAATAACCATGGAAATATTTAATTATAAATTGTGATAAATAATCTGAAGGAAAAAATAAGAATACGAGTTAAGGTGATTTCAGGTATTCCTGATTTATATTCTTACTATTTATGTTTATATTCAGGTTAGTATTTGCATTTCTCAATGGTGGGTATGAAAGTCTGGATTAAATTGTAATTTGTATATACAGTTTATCTCTCCTAATTGCAATGTGCTGTTCAGAAAAGATGATCAACTTTGAGGTATGTATTTTAGTTTAAATTCTAGCTCAGCTAATTATTATCTAAGTGCTTTTACCTGATCCTGTTTTTCTGTAGAGACAATAATTTCCACCTTCTAAGATTGTTGTAAGAATTAGAATGAGTATATGTAAAGGTCCACAGATGGAATCTCTCATATTAATTAATAATAAACACCATCACCACCATTATAGGCTTTCAGTGGACTTTCAAGATAATACAGGTTATCATGAGAAAAATATATACCTTAGATGGTGTCAGCTAAAATATTTACCAGCTAATAACAGATTGTTGACCACATTAGGGATTAAGGTGACACTTAATCAAACACCCTCTCTCCTACCACATCGCCACACCCTGCAGTTAAGAAGTGATAGATAAGTGAACAAAAGAGTGAGGTAAATGGAAAACTAAATATTAGCTGCATTTCTGTAAGTACTAGACTGGAGAACATGATTAGAATCTGTAGTCAAATTGGTTCCCAACTATTACCTCCTTCCCACTCCCTTCTTTCAGCCCTTGGGATGATTCTTCTGGGGGTATTTTGGGTCTACAAAGCATGCAATCACTACCCAGCTAGCAGTAAGGGTAATTATTCTACCTTATCTTTGAAGGTTGATAGGGGTCTAGTAAAAAATGTCTCCAAACGTGGGTCTTAGAAGTTAGCCTGGTCCGACACAGGTGTGCTCTTCCTGTATTCAGCAGGCAAACAGCAGAAGACACCCACCTGTCTAGGGGGAGTGCTTCTCTTAAAGGGAGACAGAATGTGGCAGAGACATTCATGTTCAGTTTCCTCTTCCAAGTCAGATTTGTTGCTATACCATGCATCTCCCCAGAAAATGAGCTTAGATGAATAGAGTTGTCCCAAAGATCCATCAAGTACAATATAAATAAAAGCAATCTAAAGCAGGGATAAACGGGATTACCTGGGCTGAAAAGTACACTGAAAGGTGAGTAAGAAGGAAGATACCAAGGACAGATTTTACCAACTTTATATTTCTGCCTAACACCACCCTTCACTGTGTTATTCTAAAATCAGTTTGCTTACCAGCTTTGGCATATGGCTTGTTTAGCTCCGATCTATACCAAAGGCTTTCTTCTCCTTATTAAGTGTATTCACACCACTTTCCACTCTACTTGTAAGGTTGGACTATTTGTAAAATCATCCCTAGTACTGCAAGAGATTTATTCCACTAATTTGAATAATTGTGAAAATAGCTTTCTTAGTACAAAAATTTCAGAAATAAATAAAACATAATTATGACAATTCTAGTCTTTGGTTTGTATTTTGATCTTTTGACATTCAAGCCTGGGAAAATAGCCCTTAATGAGGACAGAAGCTTTGTTTCTATTTTATTTGAATATTCACATATTCTAATTAATGAATATATTAGCCCTTATTTAGTTGGAGAAGGACAGGATGGGGCAAATTGAGAAGGGAGAGAGAGAAAGTGTGTATCTGTGTGTGTGTGTGTGTATGTGTGAAAAGAAGACTGATATTGAATAGATACCTTAGTTGTGGGAAACAAAATAAAATTATTGAATGATAAGTATTAGAAAAAAATCACCTTCAACTTTTTTGTTTTTTAAGATGAGGGATCTGTGACTCAGAACAAACAGTAGCACTGGATCCCAGACAACTTTGACCCCAACCTGGACTTCATCTACGTGATCACACAAATTTTGATCTGTCTGCCCCCAGCCTTGCCTAGTGTCCTGCCACAGTGCTGAGATTACCTCCCTTAGATGTCTCTCTTTAAATTAGGTCAATGAAATACCTTGTTGAAATCCAAGTGCTGAAATGCAAATAATGCTTCAGAATGATTTTTATCAAATTATGTATCTGTCATCTCTGAAGAATAAAGTTGGGAGAGAATAGGCGACAAGTATATTTCAATGGTGAGAGAGCAATGGAATGACTCAGGCAAGGGGTACTCTGGTTTTGTTCATAAATGGAAAGTATAAGAACCACTGAGCCATGAATGGTTATAAAGAACATGTTAAAACATTGAATACATAATTTTATACCTAATTTTATTACAAAAGCAGGTCTACTCAGACTTAGTTGTAGCATTTCATCTTTAGATACCAAACCATAATATCTCGATCCTATCATTTGCCATGTAAATCTTGCCTTTCCAACTAGTTTAGCAAGTGCATCTGGAGTAGAAACTGGTTTTCTACACCTGTAGCTGATATATATGTCAGATCACCAACTTGGGAGTACAATAATTATTTATACCTTTATTCCTTAAATCAGAGTTAAATTTGAATCCTATGATCTTGCCAAATTATAGAAATTTTAATTTTTTTGATTATTTTCTTATTTTATACTCACACCAAATTCAGGAGTCCACTGGTCTAGGAAATAGATGAAAGGGTCTCAAGATGTGGTCCTTTATAGGTACTTAAGTCTCTTCAAAGATTGTAAAACTTAAGGAAGAAAGGAAAGACCTATTGCCTTTAGTATCTCCTGAGTTCCATTTTATAATATAATCTCTGTGTTAAGGAAGTACCTACTTGAGCTATGAAGAAAACGTGTGGAGATCACATTCAAAGTCTTCACCTGTGTCATACACACTCCAAATCCTGCCTTTCTGTTACTTCTAACTTTAAAGGTTGCTTTGATGTTTTATTTAAACTTTACTTTATAAATATGATGGTGGTAAAAAATAACACAATACAACTTGCACTGTGGCATTCTAGAGTACAAAGCATGATGTAGCCGTTTGTTAAATGTATTTTAGATTTCTCAGTTCATAAAGAAGCTTGCCTGCACTTCTGACTAGGGCCCTTTTGCAATATCCAGGGAATTTTATCTAGCATCCTTGTAATTGAACTAACTTTTACCACATTACTGACAGTTTTAAACTCCTTTTCTACAAGATAGTAGTGTGTGTGTATGTGTGTGTGTGTGTTCATTCTACCTACAGTGTTTTTGACATATCAAGCAATAAAACAACACAATCCTTCACTGTGAACCTCTGGCCATTTTATATCAATGGCTAACTTTTGCTATACAGACATCAATTTCCTTCAAACCTCCCATCTCCCAAGAAACTAGCTGATTTAATTATGTTCTTCTGGTCTGTCCAGCCTTGGTGATCCCAACAACCAGTAACAGGAACTAAACATTAATAGGGTGAGTAGGATATAATCTGTAATAGGGTCTCTTTTCATTACCGAACATCTCTTATTCAACATTTATATTAATGCATAATTAAATAGCTGTCTCTTTAAAGCTTTTACTTATATCAAAGCTGTATCTCCAGAATACCTCATTTTCCCTATGTGTGTATGAGAGAGTCCCTACAGTATTCACTTTTAATGTAACTATTAAAAATGCAACACAGGAATTGAAAATGTGCCTAAATCGTTTGGTAACCTCTTTTGACATTTTCATTACATTTCCTCTTACTAGAATCAAAATGGGAACATGATTATTTCAGAAATGTAAGCCCTCCATGGCAGACTGTGCATTGTGACATGCAGTGTAGAATTTCATATTGTCAAATGTATAGTGTTACAAATAAAATATGGGCAACTTTGCGTTGTTCTTCCCTGTGGACCTTTCCTGAATGTATTTGGGAACAGGCCTCTCACAAGTGGCTGTGGGAGCTGAATACACTTTGTGGAGAATATTATAGAGAGGATTCAAATATGAAATGGGAGGCTATATTGATTATCATTAAGTTCCTTTTAAATTCAAATTCTATGATTTACCCATAGTAACAAAGGTAGGAGGTAGCATTTCAGAAGGATTTTTCCTCTTTGACCTGTCCTTCTAAAGTAGCTGCATAACTTACAGAATGAATGTGAAGGAGGGAGCTTCCAAAATGCTCTGGCTTTCCTATGAGGAATCAAACAATATTTTTCTCTCGGACAATTGTACTGGCCCAGAGTTCTAACATCAGTGGGCCAACAGCCAAATAGCGACTGTTTACAGAACTCTTATTTTAGGCCAGACACAGTGCTTTGTGTTTTATTTGCATTGTCTAATTGAAACCCCACAATAACCCTATGATTTTAATACTATTAGTAACTCTTTTGACAAAAGCAAAAGTCTTACTTAGCTCATTGTCTTGCTAATGCCAGGAGATAGTGTGGAAATAGTTGGGGGTGTGGGGAGAGTACAGTGCAAGCCAAAGAGCTTAGTTTTTGCTACAGCATCAATTTAGAGAAGAAGCAGCCTACACCCCTTTGCCTTGTGGGTAAGAACATGGGGCAGTTGGTTTGTATTCAGCCCATAAGGCAGTCATACTTCTCACGTATTAATTTATTTACTGATACTTATTCATGCCTTCTGAGTGCCAGACATTGTGCTGGTTGGTAGAGATATAATAACAAAAAGAATAAAACAAACATGGATTGTGCCAAATGAAGCATAAAAAGTAAAGGAAACACAAATCTATTCTAGATTAATGATGGTAGTTAGGTGCTAGGTGGGGGTAGTAGCTTTGGATAGCCTAGTCAGGGACCATATCATAATAATAATTATTACATTTACTTGTCAGGGGCTTCTCCAGGATCTTTTTTATTTTTTTTTTTAGCAAATAATTGATGTCTGAAACATGGTGCTTGACATTGTAGGGGAAATCTAATCCTCTTATGATGTGACTCTTGGGCCTTGCCCAAATCATCTGGCTGAGGCTCTTTCCTTGCTCAAACATCACAATTGCTTAGGGAGTGGCTGAGAGAATACCTTTAGCCCAGTGGGCTACTTCTCTTCTCCATGTGTCAGTTTTGTAATGGAGCTGTCAGCCAAGGTGATTTATCTTTGTATCATATGGTCCTTTAAGAATTTCTTTCTTGGATAATTGAATGTCACTCATCCAGGGACGCTCCTATTTCCTGCATTAGGATGTCAGGGGATGCATGGCAATCGTGAGCCGGATGGCCACACATGGCAATGCACCATACATTACAGGAGTGGCTGCATGGCTGATTCTGTTGCAGGGAGGAGTAGAGCAGCCAACCAACTGGAGATCCCAGAGGACTGCTGAATATGCAGAAAACTCTTGACACTTTACTTCACTAACTGTAAATGCAAAATGATAAAGGCAAATGCTGAGACATGCCCAAAAAGTTACTTTTACAGGATTCTTCTGCATTGACATGTCTTAGCTTCAATGACATGTAAAAAAATATATGTATATGGTTTTGAAATGAGGAAAAGAGACCCTGTAGTTGTGCTACACTGAAAGTGAACACTGTTTTGTTTGAGACACTTTGGTGTCTCCAGATATTTGAAGCACTCTCCTGAAATTCATTTTAGATGATGCATGTAAATGAATATTTTATATGAAAGAAAAGATCTGGGAAGAGAACGAGGTAACAGTGATAATCTCTGGACAGTAGAATTATGATAGTTTTTAATGTTCTTTTGGTTCATCTAGAGTTTCTAGTTTAAAAAATACGTAAGAGTTAATTTTGTAACATAAACAAAATTAGTTCACATTTTTAAAGATTTAGTACTTATTACCTGATAAACTGAGAAGAAACTATGTTATGTAATTAAAATAAATAACTGTCAAAAATTTCTAAATGTGCAGTCAGTATTCTAATGCATGGAATATGTGATATTAAGTCATGTTAATTAGTTACATTTTCACTTATCTTCAGACTACAAGCTCAATAAAATGCAATGCCACACTGCAAATAGCATAAACTGATTTTTAAAAACCATACATTAAGTAATGACTTTTTCCTCAATTTTGGCCTTTCCTTTTGTAAAATACCTCTGTTCATTAACATCCACAAGTTTTTTTTCATATAATTAATTGTATATGCAAGTTCTGGGGGCGTATATTCATTAACATCCTCCTGCTGTTCACATTTTATTAATGAAACAACCCATCACCCTCCTACCAGCAGACACTTAATTCCTTCCCAGAATCCATCTGCTTTTCATAAGCGTCCAAAGCCCAATTCCTTCACAAAATCAACTCTCAGAAAGCCTTAATTCCACGGGTCAAGATAGTTAGTTATTTCCTATTATCAGATGATCAGAAAGTGTGTTTTGGCTGTGATTATTACTCACATGATTGGGGGAAGGGTGATTAGGGAATCCAGGTACTCCTTGTAAAACTTACCATTTAAATTTTGTATATATAGACATTGGGGGAATTTGGCTGTTTTCATCTATCCATTTTGCTGCCTTTCTTTTCTCTTTCTCTCTCTCTCTTTCTCCCTTCCCCTTCCTTCCTTTCTTTACTGTTCTTTTTCTGTACTTGTGCTTAATAATAAATACAGTAAAAGTTATTACCTTATTTATACGTCACTTGTGTCAACATTAGCTAGCTTTTGTGTATCAAACTATCCAAGGACTCTTCAAGGGAGGACCATTTATAGAAGTTAAATTAAATGGAGGATGTTAGTTTTGATTATGTCATAGCAATTTTGAGAATCTGGAATTCTGATAAAATATAAACCTTTATCCAGATGAAGTTCAAATGGATTTTAGACTTTTAAAGTCTTCTGTGTTATGCAACATATATATTTGTATGCCAGCATTTTCTACATGTGTTAATAACTCAGGATTTTAAAAAGAAAACAGTTTAGCTTCTACCCCTTCATTGATTTTCTCGCTGTTTCATGTGTGACACATTACATTTAATACCTAGCATATTAAGGCTCATGTATTAACCTAGCTTATTCCTGAAACACTCTTCTTCTCTCCAGAGTAACTGGTTTGGTTATTTCATCTAGTTTCATGACTTTAGATATTAACTACACTGATGATCCCAAACTTATATATCTCGGCATGGATCACTTCCCGGAACTCCAGACTCATGTATCCAATTGCCTACTTGACTTCTCAAGCAGGCATCACATTTAACATGTTCAAAGCTGCCTCCATCCATAATCTGCTTCTATTGCAGTTTTGCCGTTTCAAATAATGGCAGCTTTATTCTTCTGTTTATTCAGGCCAATATCCTTGGTTTCATCCTGGTTTTCTCTCTATTTTTATACCCCACACTAATCAACCACCAATCTGTTGGCCAGACTCAAAATACATCAGAATCTGACCCCTTCCATTACCTTCAACATTTTCACCTGATCCAAGGAATATTCTCTCATCATTATTACAAATTCTTCATACGGAATTTCCAGGATTTAGTCCTGCTTTCCTATAGTCCACAGCCTATTTTCAACACAGGAGACACAATATTCCTGTTACAATAAGACACAGCATGTCATTACTGCTCAGATCTTTCCACTGGTTCCTCATTTCTCTCAAAGTAAAAAAGCAATATTTTTATGTGACCTCTTGCCTTTTCAGACCTGATCTCCCTCTTCTCTTCCTTCATCTGCATTCTATGTCAGCCACATATGCTGGTTTTCAAACAATTCAGGACCTTGTCACTTCTCTATGTCTAGTCTACATTTCCTCCAATAACAATATGGCTTGCCCTCCCTCTTCTTACTTTCTGCACATCTTTATTCAAAGAAGAGACAGGCAGGATGGTATAATGGCTAAGAGCGTGGAGCCTAGAGCCAGGCTGAGTTCAGGGGATGCTTCAGCTCCCTTCCAGCTTTGTGGATCTTGGGCAAATTGTTAACCTTTCTGTTTTTCTGTTGCATTTTCTGTAAGATACAGCTAATAATAATACCTTCTTCATAGAGTTGTCATGAGGATAAAATGAGTTAATATTGGAAAAGGAATTGGAATGGTGACTGGCAGATAGTATTATACAAGTGTTTGGGGTTAACAAAATAAAAAATGTTACCTTCTTAATGATACCTTGTCTGACCCTCTATTGAAAATTTCATACCACCTCTAAACGCAGCACTCTTTGTCTTCTCTTTTCTGCTGTTTTCTTCCTCTTTATGACTTAACTTCCAATAATGTATGTATTTTCTTTTTCATTGCTTGCCATTCTTAATAGACTTTAAGATTTATGAAAGCAGTGAATTTTTGTTGTTGATTAACTAAACAAGTGACTAAAATATACTAGGTGCTTAATAGCTGTTTGTTGGGAAAGATGAATTAGTGAGTTAATGCTATATATAAATGAAACGTGAAAATCAAAGACTTTGGGTGCATGAAGCTTGTATATCATCTTACACTTTGGAATCTGAGAGTCGTTTAGGATACACCATGTTGTAATTTGAAATATATCCCATTACATTGTTTGGATTTTTATCTACAAGAACAGGGTCACTGACTCTCTCTCTAGAGTGACATTTTGGGTGATGTCACCTTAACCATGAAACTCTGCTGGAGATAAATTGCGAATATAACTTGGAGGCAGAGAATTCAGATTAATACTATTTGGCTGCATTCTAAATGTCATTGTTTTTATTTCAAAAGGCCAGGAAATAACATTTAAAATATTTGTAGCAAACTATTCAGCATCAATGCATTCAGCAAAAAGGCAGAACCTGAAGGACTTCTGTTCCATTTTTACCACTTTAGAAATAGAAGCTTTATGGAGATAAAGTATCTCTTGGCACACAATAGGCATTTGTTTTAAATACCCTTTAGTAAATCTCTTAACTTTATGAAAGTACACTTTATCCAACAAGAGAAAGGAAGATCAACAGGATTCATAAGCATTGTAAGTGTAAAGATAAATAAATATATAGAAATAGAAATACAGAAAGCATAAGTCTAAATAAATAAATATATTCTGTTGCCTTTTCATGTCTCCCTGAAGAATGATTAATAATTACTGATTACTAGCCACTTAGGAATTATTAATAATTAATCACTCATAACAATTATTTTTATCAAAAACTCATCAAGATAGCATGCTTCATTAGAAACAATGAGAAGCTGATTTTTTTTCCCCCTAAATTTAATTCTTAACATTTTTGGTGACATTGGTAGTGGGGCTGGGCATAAGATACTTTAAATCATCTAATAAAGCAAACTCAGACTTGGCAGCATCTCTTTCAGAAAACTTATTCAATAAATACTTATATCTGATTTGTTTCAAATGATATTTCATGAAGATTATATTTCGGGTATTTATTTTACGAAAAAATTTTACAAGTAGAGGGATTAGGAATATTTGAGTACTTGGACCATAAGCATGATTGATAATTAATGTAAATCACAAGAGAGAAGGATGTTAATATCATTCCTATTTGATAAATAAACATTAAGTTAATATCATGGGGTTTTTAGTTATGTACATTTAAAAAATTCTGGACAGAAATTTATAGTTAAAGAGTTAATACTTCAAGAGAATGAAAGGACAAGACTATAGAAAATGTTTGCAAATGCATATCTGATAAAGGGCTTATATCCAGAATATGTAAAGAACTTTTAAATTCAATAATAAAACAACCAACAACCCCCTAAAAATGGCAATAGATTTACATGGATATTTCATTAAAGAAGATACACAGATGGCAAATAAGCCTATGAAAAAAATTCTCAATATCATTAGTCATTAAGGAAATGTCAACTGAAATCATAATTTGATGCTGCCTCATACATATTAGAATGTCTAAAATTAAAATGGCCATATCAAGTGTTATAAGGATTTGAGTCAAATGAAATGCTCACAAACTGTTGGGTGAGTATGTAAAATATTATACCACTTTGGAAAACATTTTTGCAATTTCTTAAAAAGTTAAATATCCTCTTTCCACATGCTCAGTTATTTCACTAAGTATTTACCGAAGAGAAATAATACCATATTTTCATGAAAAAAAATTGTATGTGAGTGTTTACAGCAGCTTTATTTGTAATAGACAAAAGCTAAAAACAATTCAAATGTTCACCTAGAAATGTGTAATCAAATTGTGGTGTGTCTATGTATTGAATTGCTACTCAGAAATTAAAAGAATGAACTACTGATACCTCTAACAACATGGATGAATCTAGGATAGCTATGGTGAGTCAAAGAAGCCAAGCAACATGAAAGAGTACATACTGCATGATGCCCTTTATATAAAACTCTGTAAAATGGAAACTTATCTCTAGTGACAGAAAGCAAATGCATTGTTCCCTGGGGTTTGGGAGAGTGAGACTGCAATGAGGAGTTACAAAGAGACACAAGAAAACTTTTGGGTGGTGGCAAGTATGTTTGTTATCTTGATTGTATTAATAGCTCTACAGGTATATACAAATGTCAGAACACTTTAAATGTGTGCAGTTTTGCGTGTATTAATTACACTGCCATATAGATGTTTTAACAAAATCACTGAGAAAAGAGAAGTGAATGTTTCATTCATATGATCATCATGAATAAATCTATGTCTCAAAGAATACATACCACCAACTCTACAATTGCAACTGTAGGGGATAGACATGAGGCAGGTAGTTCAGACCCTGCTATGAAGGAGTTTGGTTCCAGAGATGAAGTGTCTAATTTGTTGCCTATTTCAAGGAGCCATGATGCCTACAGACCAGCACAGGCCATCCTAGTCCCAATGCTAATTCTCCCACTCCTAGCTCATTTTTATTTGTAAAAGTTTTAATTCTGTAAAAATGTTGAAAGTCCTGTATGATGAATATTTTACACCCACCGAAAATGTCAATACTTATGTGTTCAATAATTTGTACTTCAGTAAGGCTTAGCAATTTAATATACCCAGAAGAAAGAAAAAGATAGTTGGCTTATTTATAGCATTTTTTCGACTATATTCAGTTGTACAACTAAGATTATTATATTTGTACTGTAAAAATCAATATTGATATAATGTAGAAGTCAATTCATTTTACAAAATTTTGGTTCAGAGACTGGTTGATTAAAGAGATTCAAAATAGCTCTGAAGACATTCAATTGTTGGTTATAAAATATCCTTATGTAGTTAAAAAAAGTTATATTTACCCTATTAATTCTTCTATACGAGTATATTGTTCATCAAAAAAAACCTAGTCACTGTATTTACAAAGGTTTTTTTTTTTCCTTTTTTTTTTTTTGCAGTCTTAAGAACAAAGTATAGCAACAGAGGTTATTATAATCTTAACTGGCCTCACCTACTCCCGAAGGTACAATATTAAATGGAAAATATGCCAGACATTATAATGTGCAACTATGGTTTTAAAAAACAAGCAGAATATATCATATGTTGTAACTGTGTATGAGAAACAGTTGAGTTTAAGAGTCCTTATGTCTTTATTGAAGATTTGTTATTTATAAATTTAAACGAAGAAAAGAAGATAATTTTTGATAAGTAGAGGAAAGTAAAAATCATCAATACACATATCTATTCCAATAATGCACTGCTAACTTAAATTTGTTTAGTGTACACTAGCGCAAGAATATAAACTTTCTGGGTACCCGGGGGGTGTAGTCTTAGAGGACCCCAAAGCTTTTATGGGATTTACCTCTAGACATCTCACGAGGTCCTTGTGGTGAATATCAAAGAAGGATCCCCTCATGGTTCCGGCAGTTGGTAGGGAAGAATAGCTCTTTTGAATTACACTGAGCACACTCTCCATGACAAATCCTTGTGTTTCAGGGCAACGTACTTTGTTAGAGGATTATTCCAGGTGGGTCAAGGCATTTGTGCCACTCCAGATTGCTCTAGTCTTTCTCTCTTGCCTAGAAGATGAAGAAAAAAAAAGCTACCCAAGAGGAGAAAAATTTATGATTTTTTTAAAGACCAAAAAAGAATTATAATATTGTAAGATTATGTCTCAGCCTTTAAACACTTAGACATAATCTTACAATATTAGAATTCTATCATCCATGTATTACTATCACATCAACAAGTCTCAGGCATAATAGCAGTGGATCATAGCCGAAAGAGCTGCAAGAAACAAATTCTTCATAAGGAGTGATACTTGGGAAAACACACAGACTAGAGGGAAAGGAAAAATTAGAGGAAGACAAAGTCTCTGGCAACTAAAATTATAGTAAACATTAACCACAGCCCAATTCGTAGCCAGATTAACATAAATCTTCACAGTAAACATCTGTTTACTTCGTTTTTTATAGTCAATACATGTCCAGGTTTCAAAAAAACTATTACTAGGCATATTGAAAAACAAGATAACATAGACTGAGGAGATAATGCAATGCTCATAATAAGACTCTGATATGACACATGAGGGTGTTAGAAAATAGGGAATTTAAAACAATGATTGATATGTTAAAGGCTCTTAGTCCCTTCATGATGCTATGACAAAATACCTTAAGCTGGGTATCTTATAAACAACAGAAATTTATCTCTCACTGTTCTAGATGTTGAGAAGTCCAACATTAAGTCACTGCCAGATTTGGAGTCTGGTGAACCTCTTCCTGGTTCATAGACGGTGCCTCCAGGCTGCATTCTCACATGACGGAAGGAACAAAGCAACTCTCCAGAGCCTCTCTTAAAAGGACACTAATCCCGTTCATCAGGATTCTGCCCTCATGACCTAATAACCTCCCAAAGTCTCCACTTCCTGATACCATCACATTGGTGGTTAGGTGTAAACATAACTTTGGCAGCAGTGAGGGGGCGTGAGAGAGTAACAAACATTCAGACCATAGCAGGCTGTAATGGAAGAAGTAGACAACATGCAATAACAGATGGATATTGTAAGCAGAGAGACTGAAAGACTCAAGAGAAAATTCTAGAAATCAAAAACACCTCTAGAAATGGCTACTGCCTTTTGTGGTCTCATCAGCAGACAGGTCATATCTGAGGAACATATCACAGAGGTCAGGATAAGTCAGAAGAAATTTTGCAAACTAAAATGCAAAGAGAAAAATAATTAGAAATCAAATAGGAATATCTGACAACAGTAGTACAATTTTGAAATTGTCTCATACACATAAGTAGGAGATTAAAAGGATAGGAGATCAAAAGGAGAAGAAAGAGAAAACAGAGAAGAAAACATTGGATGTCATAATAGGTGAGAATTTTCCAAAAGTAATGACAGAAAGTCCAGGAAGTTCAGGATAAATACCAAAAAATTATACCTAAGCATATCATATTGAAACTGCAGAATACCAAAGATATGTAGAATATTTTGAAAGACCCCAGAGTAAAAGGGGAAAAAACACATTTCAAATGAATTATAATGTATGTGCTAAAAGAGGAGATAAAATAGAATAATATAAAATGCTCACATCAGGGAAGGGAGAAAAATGGGGGTGGGGAGAGGAAGCAAGAAACAAATGCAATGAATAGAAAAGAGTTTAAAACAAATGGTAGACTAATTAAACAATCCAACTGTATCAATAACTGCTTTAAATGTAAATTTTTTAAATTTTGAAAGAAACCAAAGTAAAAGGGAGAATAACTCACCTATATAGAAATAAAATAAGATTATAGAACACTTCTCATTAGAAATCATGGAAGCAAGAATAGTGGTGTGCAATGTTTCAAGTCTTTGAAAAAGAGAACAATACAAATACTAACCTAGAATTTCATATCCAGTGGGATTATCCTTCAAACGTGAAAGAGAAATAAAGACTTTTCAGACAAAAGCTGAAGGTATTTGTTGCCAGTAGATGTGCTCTGCAAGAAATGTTAAAAAAAAAAAAAAAAAAAAAAGTTGTTCAGCTGGACATGGTGGCTCATGCCTGTAATGTCAGCAATTTGGGAGGCTGAGGTGGGAGGATTACATGAAGCCAGGAGTTCAAGACCAGCCTGGGCAACATAGCAGGGCCCTGTCTCTGTAAAAACAGACAAAAAAATGTTAACCAAGGAAAGGAAAGTTATATAGGTCAGAAACTCAAATCTACTTAAATAATGGAAGAATGTTAAGTGTTTTCTTATTCTGAATTGATAACTGTTTGCTAAATATAATAGTAATAATTATGTGATTATAAATTATGAATAATTGAAATGAATGAAAGCAATGTCATAAGGAACAGGAAGATGGAATTGAGAATATTCAATTATAAAATATCTGCACTATCTGTGGAGTGCTATAGTATTATTTATAGGTGAATATGGTGAGTTAAAATGTATTAAAAACTTGAGGGCACCCACTAAAATTTTTTTAAAGGATGTATAATTGCTGTACTAAAAGTGGAGACAAAATGAAATAATATAAAATTATCAAAATCAGAGAAGGAAGAAAAATGGTGGCAGGTGGGAAGAAGCAAGAAACAAATGCAATAAATAGACAACAGTTAAAAATGGTAGATGGATAATTAATTATCCTAACTATATCAGTAGCCACTTTAAATGTGAGTCATCTAAACACACCAAATAAAAGAGACAGTGAGAGGAGAGTAAACTCACGCGCGTGCGTGCGCGCGCGCGCGCACACACACACACACACACAACAAAACAACCACCAAGACACAAGTAAAGGGATAGGAAAAGGTATACTGTGTGAAGACTAATCAAAAGAAAGCTGAAATAGCTTTATTAACTTCATACAATGATTTCAGAGCAAGTAAAATTATCAGAGATAAAGAGGGTCATTATATAATGATAAAAGGATCAATCCCTCAAGAAGGCATATTTTTCCTGTGTGTCCATCTATCAACAGAGTCTCAAAATGTATAAGGCAAAGATTGATAGAAATGAAGGCAGAAATAGATAAATCAACTATTATAGTTAAAAATTTCAACGTCTTTCAGTAATTTGTAGATCAAGCTAGCAGAAAATCAGTTAGGATATAGTTGACCTGAACAACACTGTCATTCTAGTTAATCTAATTATCATTTATAGATTACTCCATGTAACAAGAGCAGAATACCTATCCTTCTCAAGATCTCCTGGAATATTTACCAAGACAGATGATATTGTAGGCCATAAAGCAAGACTCAATAAGTTAAAAAATTAAAATAATACAGATTTCACCATAGAATGACATAGAATTCAATAACAGAAAGATTTTGGAAATTCACAAATATATGGAAATTAAATACACTTCTAAATAATACACTTCAAAAATTAAACAATAAACACAGAAAAAACAAAGCTAAAGAAAAATTTTAAATTTATTGAACTAAATGAAAATACAACTTATCAAAATTTATGTATGCACAGGGAAATTTATAGCATTACACACATTAGAAAATAGTGGAAGATCTAAAATCAATAACCTAAGTTTCTCATTTAGAAAACTAAAAAAAGAAATACATTTTAATTCTAAATTCTAAAAAATAAAATATATAATAAAATTTGGAGGAGAAGTAAATGAAATTGAAACCAGGAAAACTAAAGAGAAAGATCACCAAAACCAAAAGTTGGGTCTTTAAAGTTTTAATAAAATTGATAAACCTATAGCTAGGCTAATCAAGAAAAATAAAAAACACAAATTATCAATATCAAAAATTAAAAAGTGATCATGACTACTGATACCATCAACATTAAAATGATAAAAAAATACTACAAATAACTCTACGTTAACAAATTTTATAAACATTTTTAACTATTTCCTATCTTAAGTGAAATTTTTCGTTTTCTTGAAAAACACAAACTACCAAAAGTCACATACATAGAAATAGATAAAGTAAATGGGTCTTTGTTTCTTAAAAATTGAACCAATGATTAATAGGCTTCCAAAACAGAAAGCATCAGACTCCAATGGCTTCACTGGTGAATTCTTCCATGCAATTAAAGGGTGACGGATGAGGGGGAAATGATAGAATTCTCTACAATCTCTTCCAGAAAATATAAGCAGAGGTAATACTTCCTACCTTATTCTTTGAGTTTAGCATTAACCAAACCAAGATAAAGTCCATATAAAAAAAAAAGGAAAACCAAGATCTACTATCTCTAGTGAACATAAACACAAATGTTGCGACAAAATATTAGCAAATTAAATCCAATAGTGTATAGAGAATTATACTTTGCAATCCAGTGATATTTTTTCGGTTATTGTGAGGCTTTTTAAACCTTTGAAGCTCAATGAATGTAATCTATCAAATCCATGGGCTAAAAAAGAAAAATCATATGATTTTATAAATTTATGCATAAAAAGCATTTGACAAAATTCAAACCAATTCATAATGAAAATTCTGAGTAGATTAAGAATAGGTGTGTTTTCTCAGCTTTATAAGGAACACCTACAAAAAATCTGCAACTAACATACTTAAATGATGGGAAACTGGTCACTTCTGCCAGCATCAGGAGCAAGGCCAGGATGTCATCTGTCACCATTCCTATGGAATGCCATACTGGAAGTCCTAGCTAGTGCAACAAGACAAGAAAAATATAAAAGGTAAAAAGATTGGGAAGAAATAAACAAAACTGTCTTTGTTCACCAATAGCATAATTGTATATATAGAAATTCCCAGAGCACTGATTAAAAAACTCAATTTGAACTAATAAGCAAATATAGGAAGGTCTCTGGATAAAATTTCAATCCACAAAAGTTATTACTTTCCTATATACCAGAAATGAACAATTAGAATTTGAAATTTAAAAATAAAACAAAAAAATGACATTTACTGTAACACTAAAAAATGATATGCTAAGATATAAATCTAACAAAATATGCAAAAGATACCTGTACAGAAAACTATAAAACTCATATTATCAGACAAAGAAATCAAAGAAGGTCTAAGACAATAGAGAGATATTCTATGTTCATGGATTGGAAAACTAAATATTGTTTATATGTCAGTGCTTTCAACTTGATCTACAGATTCAATACACCATGATCAAAAGCCCAATAAGCTATTTTGTATCTATGAGCAAAATGACTAAGCAGTTTATATGGAAAGGCAAAAAACCTAGAATAGCCAAAACAGTGTTGAAGAAGAAGAACAAAGTTGGGAAACTGACACTTACATTTTGTTTACTGTACTTACTAAAAAGATTTATTATTTCAACACTTACTATAAAATAGAAGTGAAGACAGGATGGTTTTGTGGAAAGTATAAACACATAGGTCAATGAACAGAATAGAAAGCTTGCACATACAAATACATATACAGTCAGATTATCTTTGATAAAAGAGCACAGGCAATTCAGTAGAGAAAAGGCACTCTTTTAACAAATAGTCATTGACAATAGTATTATGCAGAGAGAGAAAGAGAGTAAATTCAGACCTAGAACTTATACATTTCACAAAAATTAACTCAAAATGGTTATTAGCCTTCAATATAATATTCAAAACTATAAACTTCTGAAGAAAATCTACAATAAAATCAATGTGATTATTTTCCTGGGGAGAACCTTTTAGATACAACACCAAAAGCACAATCTATGAAAACAAAAAGTTGAACATTATTAAAATTTTCAATTTCTCTAAGAAATACTCTATGATAGACTGCATGAAAATACTTTAAAAACACATATCAGATAATAGATTTGTGTCCAAAATATACAGAGAATTATTAAACAGAGCAAAAATAAAATATGCAATATAATTTAATAGTGGGCAAAAAACATCAAAGAAGATATACAAATAGCAAATAACCATACAAAAGGATAGTTAGTATCATTTCTCATTAGGGAATTTCAAATTAAACAAAATTTCAAAGAAAAACTAAAGAAATACCACTGCACGTCTATTACAATAGCTAAAATCTAAAAATCTGGCAATGCAAATTGCTAGCAAGAATGCAGAGCAACCGGAAACTCTCAATCATTGCCTTTGAGAATCCAAAACGACATAGCTCCTTTGAAGAATAGTTTGACATTTTCTGGGAAAGCTAAACTCTTCTTGCTGTACAATCTAGCACTCTTGGTCTTACATATTTACCTAAATGAAGCAAAAAATTATGTCCTTGCAAAAATATACACATGGATGGTTACAGCAGCTCTATTTTTAATCAACAAAGACTAGAAGCAACCAAGATGGTTTTCAAAAGTGAATGGATAAAGAAACTACATACAAGTTGGAGTATTATTCAGTGATAAAAAGAAGTGACTATCAAAGCATGAAAAGACATGGATGAATCTTAACTAGTTACTATGTGAAAGAATCTAATCTGGAAATGCTACGTATACTATAATAAAAATTATTTGACATTTTGGAAAAGTCAAAACCATAGAGATGGTAAAAAAAAAAAAAAAAATCAGTTGTTTCCAGGGCTGTGGCGTAGAGGATGAGGAAAGTATTAAATAAGTGAAAAATATAAAATATTTTAGGACAGTGAAACTATTATGTATAATACTGTAATGGCAGATACATGACACTATGCATTTGTCAAAACCCATAGAAATTACAGCACAATGCATTCACCTCATTATATGCAAAGGCTTAATAAATTCCTGTAGGAGGTCATTGAATCTCCTGATGGAATACAAAATGTGACAAAACAATTTAACTGTATTCCAAATGTATGATCCAACCTCAACGAAGTGAGTGTAAGGAGGAAAGTACTGATTTTTGTAATTTTGGAAAGCTATGTAAGTACTGTACTCTAGTTGATAAAGTTGTTTCCTGCAGGGATACAGGTTTAAAAGTCTAATCCTACTATTCTTTTATATGAGAATTGAATAATTAAATGTATGGTGGATTATGGATGCCAGATTTGTTACTGTTGGCATGAGAAGTTACCAATATGCAAGGGCAGGAAGCTAAAACTATCCATGTGTTAATGGATTAGAGTTGGAGATATAAGTACAAACTCATGTTTTGCTTAACAGAGATACAGATGGTTACATATGAAAATATTCATAAAAATGTGTAAATACACTGGTTAGTATATACACACATATTCCCTTGCTCTGCAGCTGGTTGGTGCTAAAAATAACAAAAACCAGTAGTACCCAGATATAAGGAAACAGGACTTGTTGAAGTTACGGTTGATTCTATGACTGGGACAGAAAATACACAAAAGGAGTCTGCAAAATTTTGTAGTACCAGAACATGAGAAAGTGTTTACAAACAAACAAACAAAAACAAAACAAAAACAAACTTTCAAAAATCCCAGAATGATAGAATGATGGGAACAAATATGCCAAAGAGAGACAGGAACCAACTGGAAGAACTATCAGTGACTGAAGCTGGAACAATGTAAGCAACAAAATAAATAATGTTGGATTATAACACAATGTATAAAACAAATATACCTGAGTTCATGCTGATATACAAAAATTCCTCAATAAATGAACAAATGGGAAGAGTAGATAAACCTCACATGCAGAAGAATTTAAAATAATTCATGTAGATACTCCACTTTTGATTAGGTAAAGCATAACTCCTCATTCCTTCAGTGTGAGCTTTGGATAGTGACTTCCTTCCGAAGAATAAAGTGTAGAAATAGGGAAAAAAATTTTAGAGTAGGCAAACTTGACAAATGCTACCTCAGACAGGTGATCAAAATCAGTATCAACAGTGATAAATCATACTGATAGTATGTAACCTTCATATGATATCATGAGAATGGCATATAACATCTGTGGCCTTTCCTCAAAAAAACAAAACAGAAGCATAACCCCTGTCTAATCATGGGAAAAAAAACAAATCTCAAACGAGAGAAACATTCTGCAAAAACCTAACCTATACTTATTAAAACTCTCAAGGTCTCCAAAAGCAAGTAATGTCTAAAAAATTGTCAAAGCCAAGAGGCACTTAAGGAGACATGAATACAAAATGTAATGTGGTATCCTGGATGGGATCCTGGAATAGAATAATGACATTAAGTTCAAACTAAGGAAATCTAAATAGGACTAAAACTTTAATTAATTTAATGTAACAATAATTGGTCATTAAGTATAGCAAATGTACCAAACTAATGTAAGATGTTAATACTAAGAGAAAACTGAGTGTAGGGTATATGGGAATTGTCTGGGCTATCTTCACAATAATTTCATAAATCTAAACTGTTCTAAAATAAAACCCTTACTAAGAAGTATCTTATATAAATATGTGAAATTTAGATATCCTATGATTCTCAATTTTATAATTTCAAGTATATAACTATAACCTAGTAATTTATTCTACTCCATGCTCTTCCACCAAAGATCTCTGATATGGTTTGGATCTGTGTCCCCACCAAAAATCAAGTTGAATTGTCATCCCAAGTGTTGGTGGTGGGGCCTGGTGGGAGGTGACTGGATCACAGGGTCGTATTTTTCATGCATGGTTTAGCACCATTCCCCTTGGTACTGTCCTCATGACAGTGAGTGAGTTCTTATTAGATCTGGTTGTTTTAAAGTGTGTAGTACCTCCCTGCTCTCTGTCTTCCTCCTGCTTTCACCATGTGAAGTGTCTGCTCCCCCTTCACCTCTATCATGATTGTAGGTTTCCTGAGGCATCCCCAGAAGCTGAGCAGATGCCAGCATGTTTTCTGTACAGCTTCTGGAATGATGAGCCAATTAAACCTCTTTTCTTTATAAATTACCCAGTCTCAGGTATTTCTTTATAGCAATGTGAGAACAGACTAATACAGAAAATTGGTACCAAGGAAAGGGGCATTGCTGCAAAGATATCTGAAATGTTGAAGCCACTTTTAAATTGGGTAACTGGCAGAAGTTGAAAGAGTTTGGAAGGTTCAGAAAAAGACAAGAACATGAGGGAAAGTTTGAAACATCATAGAAAATGGTTAAATGGTTATGACCAAAATGCTGATAGTGATATGGGCAGTGAAGACCAGGCTGATGAGGTCTCAAATGGAAATAAAAAACTCATTGGGAATTGGAGCAAAGGTCACCTTTGCTATGTCTCAGCAAAGAATTTGGCTTCACTGTGCCCCTGGGCTAGGGATCTATGGAACTTTGAACTTGGGAATGATGATTTAGGGTATCTCATGGAAGAAATTTTTAAACAGTAAAGTGTCCATGATGTAGCCTGGCTGCTTCTAACCATCTATGCTCATATGTGTGAGCGAAGAAATGACCTAAAGTTGGAACTTATTTTTAAAGGAGAAGCAGAGTATAAAAGTTTAGAAAATTTGCAGTCTGCTCATGTGGTAGAAAAGAAAATCCCATTTTCAGAGGAGGAATTCAAACAGACTGCAGAAATTCGCATAAGCAAAAAGGAGCCAAGTGCTAACAGCCAAGACAATGGAGAAAAGGCCTCAAAAGCATTTCAGAGACCTGTGTGACAGTCCCTCCCATCACAGGCCCTGTGGCCTAGAAAAACTGAAGGTTTTGGAGGCCAGGCCCAGGGCCATGCTTCCCTGCACAGCCTCGGCACACTGTTCCCTGCATCCCAGCTGTTCCAGCTCCAGCCATGGCTCAAGGGCCCCCAGATAAAGCTCATGTTGCTGCCTTGGAGGGTGCAAGCTGTAAGTCTTGGTGGTTTCCATGTGGTATTAAGCCTGCAGGTGCACAGAGTGCAAGAGTTGGGGTTTGGGAACCTTCACCTAGATTTCAGAGGATGTATGAAAAAGCCTGCATGTCCAGGCAGAAGCCTGCTGCAGGGGCAGAGCCCTCACAAAGAACCTCTACTAGGGCAGTTGGGCAGGGAGATGTGGGATTGGATTCTCCATACAGAGTCCCCACTTGGGCACTGTCTAGTGCAGCTGTGAGAAGAGGGCCACCATCCTCCAGGTCCTGTGAAGGTAGATCCACTGACAACTTTCACTCTGTGTCTGGAAAAGATGCAGACACTCAACCCCAGCTCATGAGAGCAGCTGTGGGGGCTAAATCCTGCAAAGCCACAAGGGCAGAGCTTTCCAGGGCCTTGGGAGCTCACTCCTCACACCAGTGTGCCCTGGATGTGAGACATGGATGGAGTCAAAGGATATTATTTTGGAATTATAAGATGTAATGACTGTGCTGCTGGGTTTCAGACTTGCATGAGGCCCATAGGTCCTTTGTTCTGGCCAATTTTTCCCTTTTGTAACTGGAGTATTTACCAAATGCCTATACCTCCATTGTATATTGGAAGTAAGTAACTTGTTTTTATTTAACAGGCTCATACATGGAAGGGATTTGCCTTGTCTCAGATAAGACTTTGGACTTTGGAATTTTGAATTAATGCTGGAATGAATTAAGACTTTGGAGAACTATTGGAAAGGTGTGATTGTATGGGGCAGTGGCAGAATGATATGCTTTGGATCTGTGTCCCTACCAAATCTCAAGTCAAATTGTAATCCTCAGTGTTGGAAGTGGGGCCTGGTGGGAGGTGATTGAATCATGGGAATGGATTTCCCATGAATGGTTTAGCACCATCCCCCTTAGTACTGTACTCATGACAGTGAGTGAGTTCTTGTGAGATTTGGTTGTCTAAAAATGTGAGGCACCTCACCCCCTCTTCCTCCTTCTCCCACCATATAAAGTGGCCCCCTTCTTTTCCACCATGATGATAAGTTTCCTGAGGCCTCCCTAGAAGCTGGGCAGATGCAAGATCATGCTTCCTGTTTAACCTGTGGGACTGTAAGCCAATTAAATCCCTTTTCTTTTTAAATTAGTCAGTGTCAGGTATTTATAGTAATGCAAGAATGGATTAATCCAGTCTTCTTTTAATGGTAATTTTATACCCCTCTCTGTCAATGAAAAAAAAAATGGTTAATTCCTGATCAAAAATTAGAAATAGCTCCTTTTTTTTCTTCTTATTAGGAGTAAACATGGGAATCCTGTGACCTCCTTATATGATTCAGCATATTTATTGGCAGTGAAAAACTATAAGGAGCAATTACAACAGCTTTGAGAGCCTGACCAAGTTTTGCAGCTTTAAGAGTAGTTGGTCCTAGTTAAGGACTTTCAAGTATTAGAAACTTTCATTTAAGTCTTCAATGTTACATTGTCATCTCCACCTTCACCTGCACTAACTTCTCAATTCTGTTTCTGTTTCCCACCTAAAGTTTTTGGAGCATCCCAGTTTCTGGGCTCAATTTATTAGAATTAGAAGGCATGACAATGCTTTATCTGTCCTTCCAAGATTTAAAGTTAACAATTATCCTAGATCCAGTGAATGGAAGGCTTGACTTTGGATTATTATGGAACCTAATTTGCATCTCAGTCCTTCCTCTTGCAACCTCTTATATTGGCCCAGTTCATGCAACTTAGTTTCTATCTTAGTTTATTTTCTTACAACTTGACCCTACTCAGAACCAGTTATTCTATTGTATGACAGTAGAAACTTCACATACGAGTTCACAACATAGGCGTTCTTCTTTTTCTATCAGTTATCTCTATGTTTTCCCAAGAATGGGAGCTGACCTAGGAATAGAGTATCCATGAGCAGATGTAGATTCTGTTTCCCTTATCTCATACCATCTCAATTTTAAAATGGAATGGCTGTAATTAAGATTTATATCCTCTATTATTACTGTAGCCCACCATTTCTTTACCGTAATTCACACTAAGACAATTTTTTCAAGACATTTTTTTCCATGCATCTCTTTGTTAGTCTTATGCAATGAAATTTCAGTATTAATTTAAAAAGTGATATGCCTTTGAATATGTCATGCTGATGTTAGCAATGATTAAATGTAATTGAATTAATTCACCTGCTTTAAAAAATTTCTAGATGGATATACAGATAGGTATGAATATATATATATGTATATAAATGTTTTAATTCAATAGAACCAATAGTGTGAATTTATAAAAGGTTAATACATAGCATTTGATATATGCCTGCATGATTGGAGTTTTGAGATCAGAGAAGGAAAAATAAGACAAGGCAGTAGGGAAAAAGTGGTGAGTGCATAATAATTGTGAAAATGTTCATCTTATTTTAGGACAAATGTTAGACTGTGTTCTCTGGACTATTTTAATTAAATATGTTAATCTCTACTTTGTAGGAATAGATATCCCTCGTAAACCAGCTCCATTATTTCAAAATATCTTTTCATAGACATTGCTGAAGTTCTTTTGTGTGCTTAAATACCACCAAACTATTCAGGAAGAAAGGTTAACTTTCATTTGCTTATTTTTTCATGATTTTAGATTTCCTAGAAATTCAATACTATTTGGGTACTAAAACTGTAAAATAAATTTTATCAGCTTTATTCCAAACCTTGAGGCAACCCCAGGATGATATATTTAATTCAAAGCTGAGGGCAGACCAAACTACTTGAGTAGGTAACTTTTAAAATAATTCGTTAAAATTTTGACTTATGAGGTGATTGCTTTTAGGCCCTGGGCCAGTGAGGCCATATTATAAACAGCAGGGCTCACTGAATGCTTTCAGACTCAGCTCACATCATTATATATTTGGCGTCTATGCAGTTCCTGGAAGGGCACTTCTATCCTTAGACATTTATGAGTTGACGATATGATGTTACTATTCTTTAGGAAATTGGTTGAGTCTTTGTTTCTGGAGCTGTGAACGTGAATTTAATGTGTCTTCATTATTTAGCTAGTGATATAGGTATCACTTAACTATATAAATTCCAAAAAATCCAATGATACTAACAATATTATTGCCAAAAAGCAGTTATTGAAATAGCTACATTAACATATGTTGGATGAAGAAAAATGGTATAGAATTACTTTTATTGAATGATCTCAAATATAGTAAAAACATACATGAAAAGACCAGGAATAAATTTTCTAATTGTGTGATTTGTTTGGATAGTTGAATTATGGATAGCATATTTTGTTTCTTTATAATTTTCTATACTTTCCTTTTTTTCTTTATAAGAGAGATGTTATTTTTTATTAGTCGGTGATTACTCTTACAGAATTTTACAGTACTCAGCCCAAAATGTGTTTATCTACACACTCATTTCTACGTGCATGTTTTGATTGTATTATTACATTTGATATGTATGTATTATAAGTTATGCTCACAATCTCTGCCTCTACTCTTAATACTAACCATTAGTGGATGGGAAGAAGTCACAATATACTAAGAGTGCATAATAATGAAAGATGTTTGGGGAAGAGTATTACAAAATCAGTAAAGCTAGAGATATTATTTTTATAATCTGAGATGAAGTGAATACAAAAAGACATTATTAATCTCCAGTATATGACTCGCATTCTGTCAAGCCTTGTGCAGCCTTCCCAGTCTCTCTGTCTGTGGCCCATTAATTCATCTATCTATACATATATACGTTATGTCAGGTTAACCTTTATAACAACCTTAGTTCATTAGACAGGGATTATCCCCATAACTGGTAGCAAAATGTATAGACATCAAATAAGTGAAAAGACTCACTCAAGTTGCCACAATTAGAAAGTAGTAGAATAAGAATGAATCCAATTTCTCAGACTCCTATTGAAGTATTTGACATTATACCATAGCATACTGTTTCCAGTCTTGAACCTTATTCATGTTAATAGTTCAGGGGCCGAGGATCACATTTTTAAAAGCAGTGTTTGTAAATTCCTGAGAGTTCATATAGTCTTCCCTGAGTGTAAGTATGCTATGGTCTGAATGTTTGTATCCTCCTCAAAAGTGCATATATTGAAACCTAATCTCTAATGTGATAGTATTAGAAGGTGGTGGGGTCTTTCAGAGTTGCTTAGGTAATGAGGGTGGAGCTTTCATGAATAGGATTAGTACTTAAATAAAAGAAGCCCCAGAGAGCTAACTGGCTCCTTCCACCATGTGAAGACATGCAAGAAATCACCACCTCTGACCCAGAAAGTGGGTCCTCACCAGACACTGAATCTGCCTTTGCCTTGATCTTGGACTTCCTGGTACCCAGAACTGTGAAAAATATATGTCTGTTATTTGTAAGCTACATCATTTATGGTATTTTGTTATAACAGCTTGAAAGGAGTAAGAATAATGTCTTTCTGCATTTACTTCATTTCTGAAATGAAGATAAAGATAATAATAATTCCAAAGAAAATAATAATGATCTTGTATTCATGTAACATTTTACTTGAACCTTTACTTTGATTCTTAATCTAGTAGACAATAAGCTCTATAAGAACAGGTTATCTTTCTCTCTTTTCATTCATTCATCAAATATATATTAAACAGTAGATATTCTGATATGCTGTTTTAGGAGGTGGGGAAATATGCTGATTAAGACATAAAAATCACTGTTCTTGTTTTATATACCAAATAATATGTTAATTTTAAGTATCAAAAATTTCTAGAATAAAGAGAGCAATTTAAAAAGAGCAAATTGGGTAAATAAGGTACTTTATGTGCAAGGTAAGGGGGTGGTGTTAGGATAGAAAACAGAATGATGAGAGGAGCCAATCACACAGAAAGCCAGGGGGAAACAGGATGTTAAGATCATGAGGCAGGAGAGCTTATCAATTTGAATGAAGAGAAAGGAAGCCTATATTCTGGAGTATAGTGAGTGTAGGACAAGTAGTCTAGGAAATATGTAAAATTATATCATAAATGCAGATAAAGTATTTGAAAAGTCATTGGACTGTCCCATGCAGGTAAATAAAAAAAAATAGTGTAGGCTGAATTATGTTTTATAATGATCACTGTGTGAACATTGGGTTTTAGGGTGTAAGGTTAGAAGCAGGGAAACCAATTAAGTTGTGAAAATAATCTTAGGAAAAAAGGTTATGGTAGCTTGAATTAGAGTTATAGAGAAAAAAATGAGCACATTGAAGACATGTATCAAAGACTTGGTGATGACCTGAATGTTTGGACTCAAGGAAAGGAATAAATTAATGATGAACTTTGGGTTTTATTTGAATAATAGAGTATGTAGTTTACCAATTACTGAGCTGGAGAAGACTAATGAAGAGATAGATTGAGTATAGAGGAAGGAGTCAAAACTTTATTTCCATATATGTTCTGTTTAGACCCTGAGCCAGTGAGGCCATATTATAAACAGCAGGCCTCACTGAATGCTTTCAGACTCAGATCACGTCATTATATATTTGGTGTCTGTGCAGTTCCTGGAAACTCACTTCTATCCTCAGATGTTTATGAGTTGATGATATGATGTGTTACTGTTCTTTAGGAAATTGGTTGAGTTTTCATTTCTGGAGCTGTAAACATGAATTTAATGTCTTAATCATTTAGCTAGTGATCTAGGTATCACTTATATATAAATTTTTTAAAAAATCCAAATAGCACACAATCAATGCGGAGGTGTCTAGTATGTAGTTTAATAAAGTTTGGTGTTTAGGAGAGATTTAGAAGATAGATAGGAAAGAAATTATTGTCTTGAGGATATGGGTCATATTTAAAGCCACAACCTTGGATGGATCACCTACGGAGGGGCTGGAGAGAGAAAATAGAAAAGCCCAGAGTTAACCAATATTTAGAAGTTGGAAGACTCTTAAACCTTGGCCAATTTGCTATGAGAAAAATCTGGGGAAGGAAGGAGATGACAACTGAGTAAAATATTGTTGAGAAGCTGAGTTAAGTTGAAGCTGGAGAACTGGGAGACAGAGACAAGGTTAGACTTGTTTGAATAGGATATGGAAAGCATTTTTGATTCAAAATGACACACTGAGTAAAGAGTATTAAACCTGTAGGTCCTAAGGCTTAATTAATGTAATAGAAGAATAACTGAAAAATTACTAAAATCCCACAATAACCCAGAGACATGGAAGGATGAAATGGAGGAGAAAATTGAATGAATGTTTAAAAGATTATTAGCTAAAAGAAGCATGTTTGCTAACGGTGCGGAATGAAGGAGTTACAATCTGGATTAAGTGAGGGGTCTGTAGCAGAGGAAGGAGATGGCCTGCCTGGCAACATGAGTAGAGAGAAACTGGATATGAACAGTACAAATGTAATAGAGGGTAGGACAGAGATGCGAGACAACAAATAAATGTGTTCATTTACATATTGAAGAGCAGATCTCTTTACCTCTTTCCCTCGCACATGATTTGTTAGATCCAATTTTATTTTTGCTTTTGCTAGATAGGAACAAGGTAATGGGGTTATAAAGGGAGGGTGACTTGGTGCACAAGAACATTGCTTCTCAACGTTCAAATGCATAAAAATCACCCAGGGATCTTGTTAAAATGCAAATTCTGATTCGGTAGTCTGTAATGAAGCTGGAGATTCTGCATTTCCAGTAGGATTCCAGGTGATGCTGATACAGTCGTTCAAACCAAACACTTTGGATACCAAGGCACTAGCAGGTACTGGTTAAAAGAGAAATTTAAAACACATGCTGTTAAGTCAGCAGTTCTAAAAAGAGTGAAAAGAAAATAAGCTTATTTCAGTTGAACCACCACAGAACTTTGAACAGTGGTGAAGGCTTTGGAATTGCATGATATAGTGTGGAAATAGCTATGAGAACTCCAGAATAGGATGACCCAATTAAAGCAAGGATTGATGACATCATAGGCAGCCATCAGGGGGATATGGGAAAATGGTATTCAGCAGGGAAAGCCTCTATGTAAATGAAACTCATTTCGTTTAATGCAGATGTTTTTGATGTAACATCTAAATGCTCTCAAATATTACTTGAGTTACCAACATTCTAATTACTGTCTTCTAACTGAGATGTGGAAATAAATGCCTTTGTAATATATATAATAGAAAATCTGCTAAGATGGCTGGGTAGATGAATAGATCACATTTTTCAATGTTAGGAAAAAAATAAAGGCAATAACAATAAATATGAGATCACAATTAGAAGAAATTTGTGAGCCCCTGCATTATTTTCTACAGATAATTTTAACTCTAAACTGAACTCTCAGATTTATATATTGATGCATTTGAGGGTATCTAAGATTTTTATGATATTTTCTTATTTAATATGAACATGGAGAAAAACCAAGTACTTCCATAATAATAAGTAAATTCATTGGTGAATTATTTTCTCATAGATTCTTAAGATTTATAACTCCCAGGTAATTCTTTTTAAAACTCACTCTCAAACTAAATATTAGCATAGGGATGTAAGATAGCATTACTAAGAGAAAAAGCAACACAGTATGAACAGAGTTAGACCATTAGCCAAAGTGAATATGCAATTTACTATCTGTAGCTTTCATTTCACAGAGGAAATGGGAGAGTATTATTCACAGTTAAAGGAAATAGGTAAATACTGTTTTTCACAAATAAATGGAAGTAAAAGAATCTTTCTGTTCCTATGAAATTTATAGCAATGGAAGTATTAAAGTAAAGCCTTTAGACCATTATGTTTTATATAACTAAGTTAACATGTATAAATTAATTTTTCTCTTTTTAACCTTTAATTATGAATTACATATTGTGAACCTGGGTGAATGTTTAAAAAGATTTTCTAGCTTTCTCAGAATAAGGATTTTCCTCAAAATTATTATGTAAGAAAAATAATGACTGTGCTACCACAAAGGGGGCTATTCTGAATTACTAGTTTAGATTCACCACTAGATTTAGAAATGTATCAAATGGGAATAACCTGGTATCAATCAAAGATTTCTGAAATAACTGAGCCAAATCTAAGTTTCCCGTTTTGACAGATGACCCAGATTACCCACATTTAGCCATTCCCAGCATCTGTGGTTGTTGAATTGTCTTTGATCTGCTCTTGAATCTCTCACATGATCACTATAGTAGGCAAGGCCGCACATTTATAAGAAAACTGGCAACTGGGAACAGAATAAAGTTCTGTAGGCCTGCACTTAAAAAAAGTTAAGAAAAGCTCAGCTAAATTTGTATATTTATTCTCCAAAGCTCTGAAACAGCTCAATTTTAAATATCAAACAAATACACTTACTTTGTATTTCCCACATACTTGAAGGTTGAAAATAGTGCTTCATATCAGGAGTGTGATTTCCATGTCACTCGTCAAATACTTTTTGCCTTCAGCTATAAAAGTGCTTGTAGTCTTAGGTGTGCCATGCCCAAGTTTAATTGACTTCAAAGGACATCCATTCAATGAAAAGAAACCTGTGTTGGAAGGAGATTGTCCCAAGGCAAATCAATAAGGTCATTTTAGGGGCTCTAAATTGGAGAGCGAGTTTCTTCTAGTTCATTCTCTCATATGCATCTGAAAGCATACTTTTCTTGTGAAAAGTCTGTCCATTTTATTGCTTGTTTTCTTACATTATGTGTGAGTGTATGCGTGTGTGTGATAGGGTGAACTATGTTTTAATTTTAAAATAATAGTTAAAATTAAATTGGATTATTTGATGATATTGTTGGCTTAGCTTAAATGAGATCCACTGAAATTCACATTGAATTAAGTAGGAATTTCTTTAAAATGATTGATTTTATAAATTTTTTGTTGTGTTAATAGTTATATTTATTGTTAATAAGTTTAGAGTAAGTCACTAATAAAATGTTGATTTGCTTCTTCCCCCATATTAGTCTATTCTTTCCAAATAAAAACATCTCATTTTGATATGGTATTTCAATTTGTATCATGAGAAAATCTAATTCACTTGATTTCTAGTTTGAATGGATCTTTAAATATTCATGTAGTTGTATACAAATTAATGGTCTAAGTACTTGGATGCAAAAAGACTTGCAAATTCTTAAATATAAGATTATTTAGATGTGAAGTGATATTAGGAGCAAAAGTGTAGCAGTTGCTAGAGATTCATTAGGAACTATAAAAAGCTAGTACTGATAACTCTAAATATAACCTATATCATATGTAGGAGATTTTGATTAACATACATTATTTCAAGAAGAGGCCGTGTCATATGGTCATCATATACATATTTATAAGATATTTAAGAATTAAATATTAAAGAATAAAATCCTACAAGTCATTCTCAGATGTCCTTGCCATTCCTCAAAACAAATTATTCTTCTAAAATAGTGAGGATCCTTTAAAGGAACATTACAATAAAATGTTTCTTGTAAAGGGAAATGGTCCTTTCTACTTTAAATGTAGGTTGTTGCCCTTGATATGTAAGTCTGGGTTATTCATGACAAGCTTGGCATGCCAATATTCACTGGTTTAACATAATGTTCTTACCATCTCACCTCATTGAGGTGAGACTATTTTCTTCTTACAGAGTAACTTACAGTGTTTGTTTCATCCATTTGGTGCTCACACACAAATAGCCTTGTCTATGGCATGAAACCTCTAGGCTCAGTGCAATGAGTCTTCCATTTCTCCAGACTCATGAAGTAGTACCCGCCTATGTCGAGCCAGTCTAGGTGGCAACTATCTTCTCAGTTCAGGAAAATGCTGGCCTGGATACATGATACAGAGAAGGCATTAGTTTTCTAGAGCAACCATAACAAAGTAGCATAAAATAGGTGACTTAAAACAACAGAAATTTGTGTTTTTTTTTTGTTTTTTTTTACATTTCTGAGAACTAAAAGTCCAGAATTAGCAAGGCCATGCTCCCCCTGAGTCTCTGAGCAAAATCCTTCCTTGCCTCTTCCTAACTTCTGGTGATGGACAGCAATTCTTGACATTCCTTGGCTTGCAGCTGCCAAAGTCCAGTCTCTGCCTCTGTCATCACATGGCCATCTTTGCTCCAAGTTCCCTCTTTGTGTCTGTCCAAATTTTCCATTTTTATAAGGATGACCATCATATTGGATTAGGGTCCAGCCTAATTACCATGTCTTAACTTTGTTAAATCTGCAAAGATTGTATTTCCAAATAAGTTTGCATTTTGAGTTACTGGGAATTAGAATTCCAACATGTCTTCTTTTAGGGAATACAGTGCAATCCATTAAAGAGAATATAGTTTAAAACATATTTTCAGAAGTGAGGAATATACTCCTAGAATCAAAGGGCAGACAGAAGAGGTTTTTATCTACTTTAGTTGGTAACCCGACTTTTATATCTTTAATTTGAATTAGTTACATTTTTTTCTGAAGCCACATTATTTAGTATATAGTTTGGCAGAGAATGAGAATTCTAGTCGCTTTCATAAAATATAACATTGCTTATTGAATTCAAGCAAAAGTACAATATATAATGAAATCAACGAAGCACCTGCTAGTCACTTGGTCTTTGGGGTCACTTGCATTTAAACAGGAGGGATCATCAAAAACAATCAGGCTCTGAAATTTTGTTTCACATCATATTCTCTATATATACACCTCAAACATTCACTCTTTAGGGTGTATTTCTTCCTTAGCCATTTCACCTCTATCTTCCTTTTACTGAGAACCCAAGAGCTTTGAATTGTGTTTATTCATCATGGGAAACAACAAAAAGCACTCTTTACAATAGCATCTGTTTGTCAACAAATGGGTGTATTGTTTTTTCCCTTTCATTGGTCCATCTCTGCCTCACTGGCTGAATATATTTTGCTGTTACTGAATAGTACCTGCATATACAGTAATGTTTTCATGTGCCATAAAAGTCATTTTACCAGAAAGTGTCATTGATTTACTTGTGGCAATATAGGATTTCTTGATTAAGAGTTTGACAAATCCCCACTGAAGCTGCATAATAAATCAATCTTTTACTGGAAAAGCCTGAGAGGGGGGTAAGTGAAGATGCTATACATTAATACCTGGGGGAGAGTCACTAACCTCTGTTCTCTGGTGATCAATCACCTCGGCTACGTTGTGCTGACAATGTCTGGAGGTCATCTGGTTAATGAGACAGCACTAGAAAATTCCTTCCCAGGATTACATTGTATCAGTCAATCATGAACACCCATATTAGACACCAAGATTCATTTGCTACTTTTAAGAGAAAATTCTGTGCAATATGTCCAGAGCAGATTAATGATTATAAGTGGATTACATAAAAACAAGAAAAATATGCAGTTGCTCTTAGGGTGCGTCCATTAGGAAGAATTAAACCAAGTCGACACTGTTGGTGAGATTGTAAATTAATATAGCCACTATGGAAAACAGAATGGGGATTCCACAAAAAATTGAAATTAGAACTAATATGATTCAACAATATTGTGTATACATCCAAAGGAAATGAAATCAGTATGTTGAAGAGATCTGCACTCCCATGTTTATTGCAACACTATTTACAACAGCCAAGATATTAAATCAACCCTTCAAACTAAGTGTTCAACACTAGATGAAATTGTAGTGTATATACCTAATGGAATACTATTCGGCAATAAATAAATAATAAAATCCTGTCATTTTTGGATGGACCTTCAGGACATCATGTTAAGTGAAATAAACCAGACACAGAAAGACAAATACCACATGATCTCACTCACGTGGAATATAACAAACAAACAAACAACAACGACAATGACAAAAGAGTTGATATCATCAAAGCAGAGTTAGAACAGTGGTTACCAGAGACTGAGGAAGGGACAATGGAGACATTTATGTCAACGGATGCAAAGTTACAGTTAAATAGGTGGAATAAATTCTGGTGTTCTATTACACAGCAGGATGGTGGATAACAGCAAGTTATTGTATATTACAAAACAACTAGAAGAGAGGCTTTGAATATTCTTACCACAAATCAATGATAAAGCATGAGGTAATGGGTATACTAAGTAATCTGATATGATCATATAACATGTATATGTATTGAAATATCAAATTATAACACATAAATATGTACAATTACAATGTGCCAATTTAAATCAATAAGTAAATAATACAAATCTCCTAAACCAGAAAAAAAAAACAACACAAGTTGGCATAAAGTTTTTGTTTCCTCTCAGTGTCTTTCTTAAACACATTTTCATGGTGTCTTAAGGTAGGAACACCACAACTGAGAAATGATATTACTTAAAAAATGATCAATAGTGGAAATATTAACATTTGATTGAGATTGTAGACATTGTTTCTCAAATGTTGAAATCCATAACATAGCTATTTGAAAATATATCAGAAATATGTTGAAAACATATCAGGAATATGTGTATATTGAAAACATAAAAAATGAATTTAAAAGGAGAAAAAAGTATTTATTTTGCAAAGTCCTTTCTCTTCTTTCTGTTTTTAGCTATTAGCTGCAGAAATTAATTGAAATGAATATTTTTCTCTTGTGAGGAAACAGAAGTGAAGAAGGAGTTGTGCGCAGTGCACATTCAGCTTGTGTTTTTAATCTCAAATGAAATAGCAAATTATTTCACTTAATTTCTTTAAAACAAAATAACAGAAATTATTCATTTTTTTGCTCAGAAACTAGCAAGTACACATTCAAAAACTGTTTTTTGGATGGATTCAAAACTCATACAAAACTGATATTCATCGTTGGTCTTTATAAAGAAGAAGAAGGCTGGAGAAAAAAATTATTAGTATTTTTACCTGATATCATTCATGTATCTGAGCTAGTGAAATGTACATATATATCGTATATAAATGTCTATTTTTCTATAACTGACTTAGGCTAATGAAATAATGTTAGTTTTATGTAGGCTTTCATAGCTTTCAACTTGTAACTTTGGTCAAACTTGCCTGGTAATTTTAATCGTTTTCTTCTGAAAGTGCTTGGATGACACATCTAATTGAAGTATTTCCTGTTCTGTATTATATTTACTTATTTATAAATTTAATTTCTCCAAAATAATTTGAGTTTCCAGCAAACACTGATGTTATCATATTCACTTAAATACAATTTATTTGTAAATAATCATAATTCATGTATGTTAATATTTATTGCATATCAAAAATGGCTTACAAAATATAGCTCAATTCATAGTACTGCAGCCTTTACTATATTTAAAATATTTTTAAAGATGCTTCTATTTCAGTGGTATCATTTCTTATAATTAATAGGTATCATGAATGAATTTTAAGTTTCATAACTTTTGTGAGATGCTCTTCACAGAAGCCTTTTGAAAATATGTTTTCTACTTTTTGGATACAGATGAATTCTTTTATATTAACCTTGTTATTTTTGTGTACCTGTGTTAAAATTCTGTGTACATCATGCAACCTAAAACTAACCTAGTAACATGATGGATTATATGATCCCTGTGGCAGGTTTTCTTTATGCAAAGATAGCTGCACCAATTTCAGTCATCCCACAGGCTCTTCTGCCATGTGACCTTACCACTCCCCCAACAAGTGACTCAGATTGCTTCCCTTTGCAGCCCTGCATCTTGCCTGGCCATCCAAACTCACTTGTTACCAATAGAATGGGGCAAATATGACACTGAATACTTCCAAAGTTAGGTCAGAGAAAGTCTTGCAGCTTCCTTCTGCCTTCCTCTCTTGGAACCCTTGCTTTCTGGACATTCCCTTTTTAGATGCTCTCTTGGAACTCAACCACCATGTTTTGAGTAGCCTAAGTTATATGAAGGGGTGTAGGCATATTACATTCAACAGTCTCAGCTGAGCCAACTTCCGTGTTATGTTGGCCCAGGCATCAGACATGTGAGTGAAGAAGCCTCCAATGATACTGATCCCTAGTTCTCTGAGATGTTCCGAGCTCTTTCAGTCTTTCCAGCTAAGATCTCAAAGATTGTGGAACAGAGATGAGCCAACCCACTGAATTCTTTGCAGACTCCTGACACACAGATTCTATTTTTGTGCTATATCACTAAGTTTGGGTGGTTTATTACACACTATTAAAGAATTGGAATACTTCTCAATAAATAAATATTTGATATTCTCAGATACCTACACCTGTAGAATATTATATATAATTTAATGGAATTTTTATACTCATGTGTGAAATTTCCTAATATATTTTTAAAAATTGACTAAATAAGAATGTAAATTACATGTAGGACAATAACCTAAGATGGGAAATATACTGCCATATTATTACCATCATATTAAACAAAATAAGTCATAACTGGATGAACTAATTCTGTAGTCAGGAGGTTCAAACTTGTTCTTTAGGAAAAAGAATACTAAGTATATAATTTAACTCAAATCATTTAAATCCTGAAACCCTAATATCTAATTTAAAAATTAATATTGTGTTATATTAAAAATAAGAGCTCTGCATTTATTGAAGCATACTGTCTTTTGATTTTCTATATTTATTTTCTAGTTTATTTACTTGGTTACATAAACACTGTTGTACTTAATCCATTTTTGAGGTTTTTGCAAAGAAGTGTAAGTTTCTTTCTCAACTGTATTGCAATTATGCATTCTTTAGTTAAGAAAATAGCAGAATGATTTTTATTCTTAAATATGATAATATAGATTGGAATAAATCTGGTCATATAATTTTTTCCATTTCAAAGACATATCAATCTTGGAAGAAAGCAATAAAATAATAGTAAACACTTCAGTAGTACAGATTATTAGGCAGACATCTTTCCCAATTTTTACTACATACCTATAATAAAGGGATACTATAATATGGTACTTTTTCTACCTTTGATTTTGCAGAGGAGGAAACTGAGAGACAGTTTACCTCAGTTTGCTTTTAAGTACTGAAGCTAGGATCCAACTGAGCTTTTAAGCTCTACACTCTACTGACTGATATGGTTTGGCTCTGTGTCCCCACCTAAATCGCATCTCAAACTGTAATGCCCTAATCCCCAGGTGTCAAGGGAGGGACCTGGTGGGAGGTGATTGGATCAAGGAGGTGAATTCCCCCATGCTGCTCTCATGATAATGAGTTCTCAAGAGACCTGATGGCTTTATAAGTGTTTGACAGTTCCTCCTTTGCCTGCCACCATGTAAGATGTGCCTGTTTCCCCTTCAGCCATGATTGTAAGTTTCCTGAGGCCTCCTCAGCCGTGCAGAACTGTAAGTCAATTAAATCTCTTTACTTTATAAATTAGCCAGTCTCGGGTAATATCTTTATAGCAGTGTGAAAACAGACCAGTATACTGCCTCTACAGAAGTTTCCTGCACAGGAATGGTTTTCTCTTGCCTCTACAGAGGGTCCTACCAAGGTTTCTAGCAAGGAATGAGTCAGGCAGAATTTCATGGACAACTCAGTTAAAATGCATTTAAACTGTTTGTAGGTTCTCTTGCAATCATTTTAGCTTTTATTTTATTCTAGACCTTAAAAACTAAACTATTGAATTGATTTGAGGTTAAAAACTTGAAGCTAGTGGATATCTTGTTTATATAAAAGTTACATATTTAAAACATAGAAATTTCCTTTTTTGGTTTGTGACTTTATGCAAATCTTACTTAATGTAGTGAAGAAAAGACCAGAAATTATATTTCAAAGGACAAAGAAACCCAGGAGACAGAAGGTATCCAGTCAGCATCCAAATGAGGGGCAGCTGTGCTTTGAAAATGTGTTCATTTGTTCTTCCCACATAGCACCACGACCTGCCTAGTACGCAACAATTCAATGCCTGAGAGATTTCACACCTGAACTTCTTTCTCACTGGTCCCACTCCATATGCACTTCACCTTGTACACATAGCTTCAGTAATTACTGCTTTGTCAACATGTAAAATCTTCATGAAAAGGTTTAAAATAATTGCAATCTGTTACTAGGACTCTTCTATATCTTTTCACACCCTGTGCTTGCAGCATTTCTTTATAGCTGATCTTGTATATTTAATAGACAATATAAAATGACATATTCAGCAAAGTGATCATTTTTACTATTCATATTTTAAAAACTGAATTAATAACCAAGTCATGAAACTTCAAAAGAAATGAAGTGACTAAAGCCATTAAAACAAAGCTCCATCTTTAATACAAATTATGTGAGGCCAAGGTATGAATACTATTATTAATATCTTAACTCTATCAATCTGGTAGAAGATTTTTAAAAGTTTATTCGATAGTTGCAGATTTCTGTCTTTCGAAATCTCTCAGCCTTTCACCAAGTTCTTCACTTTCTTCTTTCTCCCATACCAACAACCTCCAATTTATGGAAAACCTATCTTTGAAGGAAAGAGAAATCAGTAAGACTTGATTAAATCTTGAGTAACACTTTGGTTTCCAGAAGTCAGAATTGACTCTTGAATTTACTAACCACAGCAATCCTCCAGAAATGGATAGCATGTCCAGAAGTGTAGTGTTAGGTTCAAACTTACTTAAATATGTGTTTCCCCTTTCTTTTCTTTTCCCTATATGCTAAGAATGCTTATGGGCATAAACTAGTTAACTTTAACTCTCTACAACTGTACTAGAGTCTGGTGTGCTATTCTTCCAGTGTCACCAGCACAAATTTCAACCATTTTTTAGTATCTTAAATATCTTTCTTTTCTCTTGACCTTTCACATGTTCCTTTTAACATTGTTGTTTTCACCCCAGGCTGTGCCAAAACTTGATAAAGTGTTTGAAGATGATGATTATGACTCTGTACCGTGGACAATACTGGAGAAACCTATGCTTGTTATCAGAGATGCTGTGGGATAAAATGATAATAAATAAGGTCATCTAAGCCTTGGATACCAGAACTCTCAATCTGGAAATGCACTTAGAGAATGAAATTTATGATAAGAGCAGAGTCGAAATGGGGCAGAAAGAGGGAGCAATTGGACAGAATACTGAGCATTGGAGTTGGAGGTATCACCCTATTTTTTGATTATTTAAGATGGGAGAATTTAAAAATTAGACTCAGTTGGGAATTAAATACCACCCTTGATAATTTATACCAATGAATGGCCTATGTATTTGAATGAAAGACACTCATGTGCTAAAATACTGAAAGAAAAATTGGTTATATCTCAGTGGTAGAACTATAAAATATATCTGTAATAAATTTCTAAACAGTTACTTCTGAATTTATTTTCAATTTATTCTAGAAAGAATAAAGGCAAGATAAACACACTGAGATCAATAACATTAGTATCTCTCACTTGCCATTAAATGACAATGAAATTTGGCTTGAAGTTCCCTGAATGTCAAAGCAAAGCAAGAAACACATTCAATGTAACAGTCTTATATTTTTACACAAATACTATTTTCTGCTGATAAGATATGAGCACAATTTCCTCCATGGAGTAAAAGCACTCTGAGGACATCTGTAACACCATGAATAATATTTCCGTTGTAGACACAATGACAGAGTTCAAGGCAATTCAGTACATACATGTAGAAACATTTTTGTGTATTACTGCTACAGTAGATTTTCAATTTTTCTGTGCTCTCTAATAACCCTAAGCCAATTACAAGTGTTTTAACAATGTTATCATCATTACTTCATATTTTTATAGAAATTTACAATATTGTTGGAAATAAAAAATCAAGTACTAAGGATTTTTGTTTGAATGCTGACTTTGTATTGGGTGAGGAACAAAAAAGGGAAGCAATTCAGGCATGACCTCTGGTCAGGCCCTGTATCTGTTTATTTACCTGTTTTCTGGCTCACTTATGTTTCCTGATCTGTGTTATCTCACCTACAATCACAAATAGGCCATAGGCACCTGCATGCATAGTGGATTGTGCTACCAGAAGGAAACCCTGAAATTATGAAGCACAAACTTGTAATCAGTTGGTCTCCATTTCTAATTTTGGTATCTATCTCAAATACATTTTGGATCTCTGTGGTCCCAGAGGCAAAGCTTGTACCTGCACTTTGTTGCATTTGTGAAAAATCCTGGCACTTAACTTCTCTGACAGTTGATGATCACTAACTCATGGAAGCAGAGAGAAGGAAAAACAGAAAGTGAAAAAGGAAACACAGAGAAGTCTAAGGTAGACTGGGTACAGGAGGAAAGTGGGAGAACTCCCTCCCATCTTATTAGTTCACTTAGCTCTAGTTAACCTGGGAGCCTGAAAAAGGAGGTTAGATTGTTATGCTGAATTCACAGCAGTTTCTTCAGAAGGTGAATTAAGCCTGTTCAAATTTGAAAATCTATAAGGAACGCAGGTATTTTTTGGTTAAACTCATATACCTCTAAGAAGCAATTTGAATTCTTCATAAAATTTGGCTAAATTGTGTAAGTTGTTCAAGCTAAGTAATCATATTTAATAATAATCAAATAATGTTAATAGGAGTTTGCTTTAAAGGAAGAACAATAACAAAAATAAAACAGACAACACAACAGTAACAACAAAAACTAATGGTCAGAGGAGGAGATATTAAAAATATCTGATGATTTCAAATTGACAGTAGTGAGCTAAGGAATCTGGTAGTAGACAACTGGAGTATTTGCATCCATGGCCCATCCAGCAGAATCCCAGCTATATAGAGTTCAAAGCTTTTTGTTTTGGGTTAAGTGAAGGTTGCCAGGTGGAAGTAAGGAGGGAGAGTGCTAAGTGAAAATGCGATATTACCTGCATGCGTTTTATTAACAGTAGCAGTTCTACTGTCCAGCCCACCACCACTGGATTGCCCTGTGTGTAAGTCTAATTATTAAACCCTATGTCTTGTTCACTGGCTCCAGGTCCCTTCTTTGGCCTCTCCAACATGGTACTGTACATACCAAGTCAACAGGGGTCTAGTATGACAATAGTGCCAGGGACAGCTCCTGGACTTCATGGGAAAAAGGAGTGGCATGACAACACTATAGTTAAAAAGGACCTCACTGGCTGCTGTGTGGGGATAGACTGGCTGTGATCAAGAACAGAAGATGGAGATAGCTTAAGAGATTATTGCAGAATTTCAGGTAAAATAAAAGTGGTAGTTTGGATTAAAGTAATCAAGGAAGAGGTGGTAAAAAGTGATCACAGTCAGGACACATTCTCAAGATGGAAGCAAGGGCAATTCCTGATGATTCTGATGTGGGAAGTTAATGAAACAGAGGAATCAAACATGAAAAATTCAGAGGAAATGCACTGTGCAATCAGTTTTAAAGTTAGCACATTAGGCCAAGGTGTTTCTGGCATCATCATAACAGTCATATCAGTGACTTTGCCTTAATTTTTTGGCTCAATCAAGTGTTTTATGATTCATCCATGTAGATGAATATACCTAGAGTAGATTATATCTTATTACTTAATTTATTGTTCAGCTATCAAGAAGTCTGAAAGGTCTGAGATTTTAGCCTACTTGTAATCAGTTGGCATATCTCAGTTCATGAATGCTCCTAGAATACACAAAACTCCTGGGTCAGAGACAAAGAACTTTATTACTCATGGCATAATAAGCAACGTGTGTGTTAATGTATTTTTCTGGTACTCTGAGCTTCAATTTCCAGAGGGTGACAAGAAGAGGGCCATAGGCACCTGCATGCATAGTGGATTGTGCTACCAGAAGGAAACCCTGAAATTATGAAACACAAATCTTTTATAATGGGAAACCAGCATGCCTGCTTTAACCTGGACAGGGAGACATCATTTTACTCCACAATAAACAGATCGGCCTTTTGCTCTCGGGGAAGGCAGTACATATCTCTTTCATGGCTATAAGCAGATCTGCCCTTTGCTCCAGGGTGAGACACTGCATATTTCAAAGCTGCTGACTATACGAAGGTTCTTGAAATTATAGTCCAGAAAAAAGGGTTTTCAGCGTCTCCTTCGCAAAGTGTACAGAAAAGCAAAAGACCTATAATCATCTCCCAGCAATGTGTATAACAATTTATTTTTTCTAAACTTACTAGATGTTTGAATGATTTTCAGACTTTTGTACTATAAGTAATACTGCTGAAAACATTTTTTCATTCTATTTTTGTAGAGACAGGGTTTTAGTATTTTGCCCTGGCTTGTCTCAAACTCCTGGGCTCAAGCACTCCACCTACTTTGGCCTCCAAAAGTGCTAGAACTACAGGTGTGAGCCACTGCACCAGGCCTGAAAACATTCTTATACATGTCCTCTGGTTCATGTGTACAAGAGTTTTCTAGTATCTGTTCTTAAGAGGTGAATTACTAGATTGTATTTTCACCAGCAGTATATAATTATTTTCATTGCATTTCATCTTCAGTAATCCTTTACACTGTCAAACTTCTACTTTGGTCAATCTCATGAGTGTAAAATAATATCTGAACTTAGATTTAATTTTTATCTCTTAATTTTAAAGTTATCTGTTGTTTTTCTTTTGCTTCTGAAAAATTACGTTTATTATATATCCCATTTTTAAATTCAGTTATCTTTTTCTTAATTAGTAAGTATGCTAATAAGTATGTTATGGATACTACTCTGTCAATTTTATGTGGGTATGTACCTTCCAGATTGGGGGTTTGTTGTGAAAATATCTTTGATATCTTTCGAAGAATGGTCTTACTTTCCATATGGTTTATTTTTAATGTAATTAAAATTATTACTATTTCCTCTTACAGTGTTGTTTGCCATATAGTTAAGAAACCTGTTACTAGTGAGGTCATAAATGTTTTTTATTAATGTTTTATTAATGTTTAACTGTTTGGCTTCTTTACTTCTTCCACTTGGGATAAATTAGGTTTTTGAATCTGAGAACTGGTGTCCTAACCCTAACCGTGACCTAGGGGTTAAGGCCCTTAAAAGCATGTGTACTGTATTCCAGCACAGATCTTGTACACACAGAAGCAGCACTGACTGCATCATCTCCGGACCATTTAATTGATTCTCCTGCTTTGCCCCCATATGTATGGATATTTCCAAAGATTTAGTACTTTATCCCCAGTTCTTTACTTATCAGTGGAAAATTGACATCTTGATCACAAAATTTTAGATCACCTGTAATTCTTAACTGTAGCTCTGGTGTCTTTTATACTATCTCCATGTCCTATACTGCTGATAGAACACTTCAATTCAGATGACTCCCTCCTGAAACGTCAAAGATTCGCCATGCTTCTTTTTTCAAAAAGTCATTATCTTTCCAAAACAAGTGCCTTTTTCTGTCTCTCTAAATCTTATAAATAATGCCAGTATTCTCCAAGTTACCCAGGCTCCAAGCTGAGTGTCAACTTTTACTTTCTCATTTTGTCTCTTATTTCCTTCTGTATCATTCCTAACTATGTTTTGGTGTTCATAATTTCTTCTGTATTATGATGACAGCTTTCCAAGTGGTCTCCCTGCTATGGAAATCCCTCTCTACTTCAACCTATCCTACATAGGAGAAGTGAATACACTTCCTAAAGCATTATTATGATGGTCTGCTTCTCAACCACCACTTTAAATCTACAATTAAGCCTCATAATCACAAAATAAAGTACAAACTTCTCTATTACAATATCTGGTGCCTATCATGATTTAGCTGGCTTAGCTGTCATTCTAACTTTACAACAAAACTGTTATTGGGTAGAAAAACCTGTTACTAATTTTCTCCATAATTGTGCATCTCTTCACCCCACTTACGCACGTGCGCACACACACACACACACACACACACACACGCTCACGTGTTTTTTTTATTTTGCCTTAACAATCCATTTTTACTCTACTGCCCTTGCAATAGGAAATCCTTGACCGTGGACCCAATTACCATCCGTTCCTTTCCTTCTTTGGTATGTTTTTTCATTACAGCTAGATTAGAACTAAATTAAGATCACTTCATGGAGTTAAAGAGTAATTTTCCATAGAGATTCTCTTTGTTTCAAATGTCATAGAATGGTCAGCCATACTTAAATCAGAACGCAGAAACATGGTCTATGAGCTCAATGAAAAAAAAAATTGAACGTGATCCACAGTTGGGGAATCAGGCACAGATAGACATTTTTGAGAAATGCGGCACCCATGATGGAAGCCAGAGTAAAATGAACAACTAGACTTTCTATGGGATGAGTGATATAAACATCTAACAAAATGTACCAGAGCATACAGAAGGGACTAGATTCCAGTTGCACTGTGAAGCTATGTTTGTAACCCTTTCTCACTCCAACCCCTTCTACCATTGGTAGGTCTGTTCTCTCCTGAGTTATTGGTACACACTAGGAAAAAGAGGGTGGTTGGCAAAAATGTGTGCTATGTACTGTATCTTTCACATAATCACACACAGGAATAGGGGTTGTGGATTTAGCAAAAAAGCAAAACCCCAAAAAACCCAAAAGAACTTTGGGTTAAATTTGAATTTCAGTTAAATAATGAATAATTCTTCTTCTAGTATAAGTATGTTCCAAATATTGCATAGGATACAATTGTCCTAAAAAATTATTACGCTATGTATATATATTTTAGTATAAATATATTTTTGTATACATTTTAGTGTAATAGAAGTATACACATATTTTAGTGTACATATATCTACAAAATTGTACACTGAAATATGTATATACTTATAATGTATGTATATACTTATATATACATTTATATAATAAGACATATGTACACATATATATACACCAAAACATATGTATATACTTATACATGTGTAATAGATACACACTATATATACACACACAGAAAGAGAGTATATACTCTGATTAACCTGTTAAATTTAAGTTTCAGATAAACAATGAATCCTTATTTAGTGTATCTCAAATATTGCATGGAATATACTAAAAACAATGAATTGCTTATCTGAAATTAAGATTTAACCTTAACTGGAGTCTTGTATTTTATTTGTCAATATTACAGAAGCATTGGCTGATTCCCTGCTGGGTGAAGTGAGGAGGATGGGCCTCTGACTGATGTGCAGGGCGTAAGCTGTGAGCTATCAGCAGAAAGTCAGCAAGAGCAGCAGGCAACAGAGCAGGGGAACCATAGAGCTTTAGAGGAGGCTTTGATTACATGTGAGCAACACCCCCTGGATCCTACTAGTGCAGGGCAGTCGGATTGCAAAAAACAGCCAAGGGCTTCTGAAGCATTGCCTCCTTTTGCATCACTGAGACAGAATCCTAGGAGTCATAATGAAACTATGGGGCTAATTTGCCTTTAGAGTAAACTATTACCTTATCTTCAAAGATAAGCACCCTGAAGAGAGCAAAGAGACTCTTTTTATTCAGAGCTTGTTTAGAGAATGAGAGTCAGCCACCATCACTTGCCTTTGAGAGTCAAGGCAGGTAGAGAGGAAAGTTCTATAGTGAAAATGAGGAAGGCTTCAGACATGCCTTGATTGGAGGCATTGGCATGAGGAAGCTGACAGTGGACTAACTAGAAGCAGGGGAACTTATGTAACTGATTTAAAAAGATTAACTGTTTATGATTGATCCTGAGTTGTAAGTAGGACAAAAAAATAGTTAAGCTGAAATCCCTTTATCAAGTTCTGATTGTATCCAGTTGTTGTTAAAGTTGTTGTTTGCTTCCTGGGCTGGTTGCTGCAGAGTTTGTGGGTCACAGTTTTATTTCATATATGATCTGATGATTGTTCAGTTGTATATTTAGTCTGTCAGTATGAATGTATTAAGAATAAAATTAGAAAATCTATTTAAAGCTCTTGGGCAGTATCAAGCACAGCATAGCATTCCATAAAGCATTGCTATTGTTAATAATAATAATGAAAATAATATTATTAGGTCTATATTCTAAACAGACCGAGGACACTGAGAAGCCTAGATACAGTGAGACTGGCCAGTTTTGTTTCCTAGAGAGTGTCAAATACGACTTGCATTGGCATATAGGAAATTGTCAAAATTTTTATAGGTCAAAATTGTTTAAATATCTACGATTTCTAATCACTCCTCTATCTAACATTAATTAGAATTTATTATGGCTCATTGTATATATTAAGTTATATAAAAGCCTATACATTCACCTTAGAATGTTTATTAACAATAGCCTTCCTTTTATACTGCCTCAGCCTAATACTTCATTCAGTGAAGAAGTCAAGGTTTTGGGAGCAAGATATGCATAATTACAGAGGGAGTGATAATTACATGGAATGATTAGCATAGTGCAGTTGTTTTAAAAGGGAATAAATCAATAAACATAAGGAGAGGTTATTTACATCACCTTAGTGTTCCTAAAAATCAGAACATCTTCGAAGGAGTAAAACGTTTGAATCTCAATCACTTGCCTGCTGTGGTATTTTGCAAAATGTAGAGAGAAGTGCTGCATAAAAGAATTAAGTATTTGTAAGTTTAAAGATTTAGTTGATTTGCTTTCTGCTAAGCTCAAGAACGGTTTGAAGAACTCTCAGCTCCAGGTCTAGGTTGCTTGCTTTCTGTAAGATACTAATATGAAGTGAGCCCAGTTATTGCCTACTTAATAATTTGCATATAATCACCAATATTATTTGGTGATGTTGCTTGTAGGTCTATTTTTATGTAAGTGAGATGCACAGCAAAACAACTCTACAATGAGCCTAATGGCATTGTTCAGGTTGTATATCTAATTGCTCTCATTACCCACTTCACTTTCACACACTTAGGTAAACTGGGTGGGGTGGAGGCCTGCACACTTTATCTTACAAAGCTGTTTAAATTTTAGCGAATGAATGACATAGCACCGTGATTTCAGAAATTGGGTTTATTGGCTCTGAAATGAAATAAGCATTATAGGATGACTGTAGGTTGCTTTTCCCAGACATCGTCATTCACTGTGTTAATGATGAGAACTGCCTGAGGGATCAATTCAATCCACCTTTTTAATATATTGCTAGTATATGTAAAAATGCTATATATATTAGTTGTGCTGAACCCCTATTCACCTCAATAGGGAAGGCACTGGGTTCAAGAGGTACAAGAGGCCAAAGAAGAGACCCAGAGCCAGCAAACAAGACGTGGGGTTTTGTAAGGGGTGTACATACAGGAGATTGAGACTAGTGTCGGTAGGCTAGACAGGAAAACCCCTTATGTACAGAAACAGTTCGGTTGCGGCAGGCCAGATAACATATCTGCCTTCCTACAGTCCAGTGGCGAGCTGGGCAGCAGAACCACAACCACTTGCAATCATCATGCAGTTTATATAGCATTTTCACTTAACTTCTTCCCCCTAACCTCTTCCTCTACTTGGCAACCTTAATTTAACCCAAAACTCAGAACCTGAATCCTCTGTACAACCCATGTTCCATAGGACAGGACAGGGGCTCAGATGTTCCTCATAGACAAGGAATGAATCTATGTGTTGGCCATTCCAGGATTCCCTATCTCAGAACACATGTTCAAGTGCATCTGCCGTACAAGATCATTCTAAAGGTATGCTTACATTATTGCTATCAGGTGATTTACCCTACAATACTCAATACTCAAACTTTCTTGCCACTCATCTTTGTAAGAAAACTCTTGCTTTCTGATAGCTAGCTGTAAACACATGCATTAATAGTGACTAAACCTGAATTCAACTGGTACTTTGTTTTAAAACTACAAAAGAAAATTCCATAGGGTAAATAACTTTCTAGATATTCAAATATTTCAGCATAGACATTTCTTTATCATAATTAAGCTTCATTATTCTAAAAATGAGGGCATGTTTTGTGTATGCTAATGTCACCCTTAACCTCTTCTATATTTCCATATGTAAGAGAAAAGTAAACTTTCCCAGTTCCTCAAAATGTTTCTTTAAAGACTTTATGGTCTTAAGAGAATTGTTTGGCCTGAGTACAAATACCACCAAGCTTTTATTAAAGTGCCTTTTACACTGTAGTATTTTAATGTAATCAGGACAGAAGTCAAGATATAGAGACTAGTAAATAACTTAATGTCTTACAGTGGATCTCTGCTGTGATTGCATATAATCTCAATTATTATATGTCCAGCAGATGGATGCTTAGATAGTTGGATAAAACTTCTATTTGAACAGCTTTTGAAAAAAAAAAAACCTCAAATATCAGAGAACATTTCTTCTTTTGTCATTTATTTCCCATGAAATTACTGAAATAACCTGGGATCTAATTGCAAAGATTCAAATTCATTTAAAACATACTAATTAAGAGGTAGTCATAATGCCTTTTAACTGTTTCCATTTACTCTCCCTTAATTTTATAATTACAAAAATAACACTGAGTGCAGTGAATATAAAACTAACTGCAGAACTTCTCAGGATAATCTTCAAGGCTTTTAGCAGCCTTTAGCCATATGGGTTTTGCATATATGGTTCCAAAATGGCTCTTATCCATATACATTTATGGAGAAATCTTAAAAAAGGAAAATATATTTGGGTAATGTTAAGGACAAGTGTTAGCAAGTATGAAACAGAGTTTGCCACAGGCCAGATATCATCCATTTGTAAGCCACTCGGTATAGGCTTGCCTTTTGTGGGATCAACTTGTATTAGTTCAGCAGTAGTCCTAACTACAAACAAACAAAGAGACAAAAAAGAGCTTTTTATGTTTTGGCTTACTCCTCAAATTTAAACCCACTATAAAATCCTCTTAGGAGAAGTACTGTTTCTTATTAGAATCATATAGCTGACACCATGTGTGCCCCCTCCTGATACCTAAAGATATTCCTTTAGCAGAGCTATGGGAATGATCCCCCGGTGTCTATGTGTGTTTCTGAGACCTTCAGAAAATGTCCTGGGTGTTTGAAGTTGCCATGGTTCTCTTGCAAATGCCTGGGACTCTACTTTCCCCAGATGTAGCCAGGCCAGAAGCCAGTGACTAAGTGGTTCTTGGGAGAAGAAGGGAGGAAATACAAGTTCCCTTGTCTGAAAAGTGACCACTCCAGAGCCTCCAGCAGTAGGGACAGGCTGAGGCTGCTTCTTCACCTGAAATTGCAGCTTTGCTTGGTTCTTTCCCTTCCTTTCTGCTCCCCACAGTTTATTTTCCTTAGACCTTTGACTCAGGGTTCGCTTATCAGATAAACTACCTAAGACAAATTGCATTTGTGCCTCTCCTACTGTGTTATATAGAAGTTTGAACAATAGTTATGAAATGAATAAATACTAGTAAAGTGGCTAAAGAAGAGCTCATTGGTCCAGGAGATTCAAGTAAATTTCATCATTTTATGGTTCTTTCCTTTCTCCCTTCCTTGATGGAATGACTTGTTGTGGTGAATGACTGTAAATTCTCAGAAATCATACAATCTACTATGGGATACTCAGCAGCGAATTCTAAATTTAGGGTGTGTGTAGGGGGACACAGGGAACATAGAGACATTTTTACCATATTGAGCAAATCTTAGTTTCTAGGATTCTATAATATATAGTTCTTTGTCACTGAATAAAATAACCATGGACAAGATTTTTGGAACAAATGATAGCATGAAAGCTAGCGTCAGTAGCTCAGTGACCCACCCAGGGAAGGAGAGTAACAGCAAGATGGTCTACAAGAACCTGAATAATGGTAATGTAGATAATGTAAATTAAAATATCAAAATTACATTTTTTCAATTTTAAAGCTTTAATTTAAATTTGAAGTGAAATATGTTCATATGGAAGCTAATTTGTTTGCCATTATGATGAGCTTCTATAATTTTATGCTGCATAATTACATTTAGCTCCATTTGAGGAAATAGAAACTTATAATAAAACACAAACATAATCTTAAGAACTTTACAGTCCTACACTATATGATTATTATCTGTGCATGGAAGGTAGATTTTTTTATTTTATTTTTTTAGGAGTTTATTTCATTTTAAAAGAAAACAACATTTTCAAATAACTACACATGAGATTTTTAATGATTAAATTGTCTGTCATAATTCTTGACCCTAGTCAGTAAGACACAATAATTAATGAATAAGTTAGTTGCTTTTAATGTTCCCAGTTTAGTGATATACAACTTACAGTGTCTCGGAATCTTTTAGAGTTATGTCTAGATGAGCAGGCATCTGATATATTGCTTCTTTGGTAAGAGTATAATAGCTAAAGAACAATTACTAGCTTTGTGAGGATGGCATTTTATCAATGGAACTTCCATTAAGTTAGCCTTCCATCTTGTTAATGCCATGCTCTTTTTTCAGGACCTTGACATCATTATAATGTGTCAGTATAGGGGGGGATAATGTACTTTTAAAGTGCCGTAGATATAAATGTGTATTCCTGTCTTTGGTAAATTAGCATTCAAAGCTTTCTTGCTGCAGTCATTTTAAGGACTACATGAGAATACTAAATACATGAGATATAAAAAGTATATCACTTTGACAGGAAAAAAATACTAGCTAACCAACTGCTTGTTAACATTCACTCTTTACATATGGTATCCCTCAAAAAGTAGTTTTTATGTGTTTCTTATGGTATAGTCAGCATTCTCTTCACTTGTCCTAATGGGAAAACTTTATCGGAATTAAATTGAATATTCATAAAGATGGCATTTTAAATAGCTATTTCCTGTATACAAGGAGTCATTAGTTAGAAAATAAATATTTTTTAAAAAGGAAATCCTCTTTATTCTTATCTGATTTGATTTCAGGTATTCTTGTGGGAAGTGGTTAGAATTAGGAACTAAAAATTGTAGTAAAACTGTTTTCTTGAATAAGTATAAAATGTTATTGAAAGTGGTTATGCCTGTATAATGTCAAAAGGAGACATTGAGAATTCAGGCAAATTGCCAATTTTTTGATTGATAGGGCTACAATTGACTGATTTGATAGATTACTTTTTCTTCTAAGGAATTGTCCAGTTGTTTGATGAAGCTGATCAAATCTGTAAACTCTGTAAGTAATATATTACTGAATTAGGAAAATATTAATGCCCCCTTAATAAATCTTAGTACAAAACTCTTTACCAGTTAATTTCATATACTATAACTCTAATTATAAGGTGACTGTCTTTTGATGTCTTCAAAATGGTTAAACATAGTTAAAAATATTATCTTACCTGTTTGGAAATAAAAATTACAGAAAAATTTTCTCACTTAAAAATGAAAGTTTACTGTCTTCTTAAATTCAGCATATCCCCTCCAGTGTTTTTCTAGTGGTTTCTTTAGTTGTCAATAAATATATTAGATCTCCCTACACTCGTAAAATTTATCAGATTTTTTACAATTCTGTAGGTACCAGTCAAGAATATAAAAGACAACAAATTCAAGTATTCCAAGGCAATAGTGGGAGGATTTTTCATATGGAGGAGAGGCTTTTAGGCTTCAGAGTCTCAACCCTTATTTCTTTTCTTTTCTTTTTCTTTTTTTTTTTTTTTATGAGATGGAGTCTTGCTATGTTCACCTATGCTGGGGTGTAGTCATGCAATCTCAGCTCACTACAACTTCCGCCTCCCATATTCAAGCAATTCTTTTTCCTCAGCCTCCCAAGTAGCTGGGATTACAGGCACACACCACTATGCCTGGCTATTTTTTTATTTTTTATTTTCAGTAGAGATGGGGTTTCATTATCTTGGCCAGGTTGGTCTTGAACTCCCGACCTCAGGTGATCTCACTGCCTCGGCCTCCCAAAGTGCTAGGATTACAGCTAGGACTTCAGCCACCACGCCCGGCCTCAACCCTTGTTTGTAAGAGTCCTTTTGAAGCAGCCTCATTGTTTGGAGTGACACCCAGAGTTCTTGGTCTCACCGTCAAGGAAATCAAGGATGCGGACACACCAAGGGTGAGGTTTAGAGCAGAAATATAATAGGAGAAAGAAAGAGAACAGCTCTTTGTTACAGACCTCCTTATCTTTGTTTGCAGCTTGATCTTCCAGGCTGCTTTCTGTTAGAAAATAAGTGATTTCTTGGGCCGCTTTTTGTTAGAAGGGAAGTTCTGCTGAGGACTCTTTGCCCTCACTTTCTGCCTAAATAGTTTCTTTCTACCTCCTGTATCACTTTCTCTTTTGGAAGTATCTTAGATATTAATCACTGCTGGGCAAATTGACTGGAGGAAAGGGCAGCTATGGAGTTAAACTATAGTACTTGCCCAAGATGCAGAACTCAGCAGAGTAATGCTCCTCTGCCAATATTTCAACCAAAGGAAAACACAGAACCCTTCTCTTAATTTATTGTAGCACAACTGAGAGCAAGCTAGAAGACATAACCACAGCTCCAGTAAGGGTACACATATTATATTACAAAGAGAAAATGAGGATTTATACTTTAGATTTAATATTTCCCTGCTGAGGACTCTCACTGGAATGTCCAACTCTCTACCGCTCTTTGGTTTCTGGTTCATCATAGTGGAAGAAGCATCTAACCTGTGTCACTCAGGACTACTCTCAAGCATCTCGAGATTTAGAATTTTAGAGTACAGTGATTCAGTTAAGCAAACAACAAGTAGTACTATTTCCCATCTATTAAAATCTATCTTCCACATGGCTTCCTGTGTGTTTACTTATTGCCAAAAACAGACTAACATTTGAATGCAGAGCACCATATCTAACACATGCACAAGAGATAGGCCATTTAGTCTTTGCGGAGTTTTATTTTAATGCTCATAATCTTTGAGTTAAGTTACCTTCCTTTCTCTCTCCTTTTCTTTTTGTGACTAACCTCTCAAAAAAGTGTTTCTTGCTAATTTCATTGACTTGTACATTGAGATTGTTTGCAATCAGGTATCTACTACAGCTTAACTGAAAGATAGCCATCCAATCACAAAATCAAGTGGCCCTTTCTCAATAGGAAACTTTATCTGTTCTCTGTAACTATCCACACAGCTGACTGTCTTTTTAAAACTATCATCCCTGTGACCAATAAAGGTATTGTATTCTGCTTCTTTACACACAAGCTGCTCCTGCCCATTTCTTTACTGACTTTTCCTGTTTTTCCACTGTCCCTAGGTTCGAAAGTCACACTTCTTTTCTGATTTGGTCTCTCTTCTTTGGTAATCCCACAGATACAATCACACCTACTTCCTAAATCTGAACCATGATATCTCTTGACTTATCTAGTCTGCAAACTATAATGGTCCATTGGGATATCTAGCTGAACATTCTAATAGATCCCTTAAACATAGCACATTCTAAACAATATTCATTTTATCAATTACAATACATTTCTTTTTCTAATTTCTCTTGTTTGTTTATGACAATCCTATTTTTTCCAATCACCTGGGCTCTACATGCCTAAAAATCATTTTACTTCTCTCTGTTCTTTAATTCATATATCCAGTCATTTCCTAGAGTAATTTTCTCTTGGAGTCTGAGTTGTATCTTGATATTGTCATTTTCTAAAAATTCTTTATTTTTCCTATTCAAGGTGTTCTTCTGTTCAGTTATGGCCTCAACATTTTTCTCTTATTTTTTTTGGTTATCAAAATAATTTTTACTCATAATACAAATAAATTATAATTAAATTTAAAGTTCTCTTCCACCACTAATAGCCCATTTTCTCTATATCATGGTTTTATGTGTATTGTTCAAAAAAACATGCATGTGCAGAGATTTCTAAATTATCTCCAAATTAGCTAAAGCAAGGTATTTGTTAACTAGTATTGTATGAAGATGCTATTTCCCCACATTCTCCTAACTTTTATGTTATCATTCCTTAATATTTTCCAATCTATTCCCTTATTGTTTTAATTTGCATTTTGTTTTTTGTAAATAAGATTGAACATCTATTTGTATGCTTATAAGTAATTTGCATTGCTTTTTCTGTGAACTGACTATACATTTTGCCTTCTATCGTGTTCTTGTCTTACTACCTCAAGACTTTCTTGGCTTCTGTGATGATTACAAATTGTTTCTAGGTTAATCTTTCTAATTCACATCTCTAATCAACATACTTTCCAGTTAAAATTATTTCAATTATTGTTGATTTCAACTGTACAAAATTTGAACCTCTTAGTCTAGTATACCAGTCAAGGTTCTTAGGTACAAGTAATAGATTCTTAGGTATAAGTAATAGGAACCAGAAACCTGAATCATTTGGCAGAAATGGATTTCATTAGAAGGATATTGAGAAACCCACAATCTATGGCAGGGCTTGAGAAACATATCTAGAAGTCATGCCTTTTGGAGAAAAATATTCAAAATTATGCTGCTAAACTGATTTATTACAGATATTAAGAATGTTTCCCTGCTATCATCAATACTTAAAAAGTGGATGCTTTTAATGAAGCTATACCCATGGACAACTTTAGAAAATAAGTTTAGCTGACCCCATTGCAACCATATCTATCTACTTGGTCATTCCCTTCAGATTCAAAAGTTTGAATGTGCTTATCTGATTGCCCTATATCCTCTGCCTGAACTCAATGTAAAAGACAAACACAGAAAGCAATTATCTAGCAATTTCTACTTCTAAAGTTGGATGTGTGCTTTGCCTCAAAAGTTGGTGGATTTCACACACACAGGAAAAGGTTCAGTAGCTAGATACCACAAAGAATGACAGATGTCAACTAAAGTTGCTATATACTTCCCTCTCTAATCCTCCTTTGCCTATTTTTTGAAAACTGCATGTTTCATTCCTAATATAACCTATAGTCAGCTAATTTAGACCTACCCTTCCTAAGATGTACCCTTAATTTTTTGCATCCCTCATCTTTTCTAATCCTATTCTCTGCATAGATTCCTCACCTTCTGGCATTCTACTCATTCTTACAATTTCTACTTGCAATATCTTTTTTTAATTATGAAACTTTCTTAATAATTTCCCTTTCTTCAAACTGCCATACAATTTTATTCCCTCAAACAATAATACTCATTGTATTGTCTTGTCCGAAAATTATTCTAGTATGTGGCATCTTGTCCTATTACTCTGTAGGCACCAATGTTATAGGGACAGTTCCTTTTCATTTTCAATGCATTAAAATATTTGGAAGATTTACACATCAATACAAAGAACCCATCAAAAATAGACCTCTAATTCCCTGTCATTCATTCACCCATTTACCAAATATGTGTTTTATCTATACCGTATATGCCAACATTCTGGCAAAGCTACAGATGTGATGAACAAGACTGACTCAATCCTTTATAGAGTTTGGAAACTAAAAATGAGACAGCAATAACAAAACAACATATAAGAAAATAAAAATTTCAATAAAATTATTTTAATGTTTATAATATGTTATGAAGAAAACAAAATAATTTCCTATGTAAAGAACAGTTTGGATGAATGCAAGAGGGAACTGGTTTGATTGGTTAGAAGGCTTAATTGGCATGAAAAGGAAAGATGATACCTGATTGGTTTCAAAGGGTAGCAGAGAAGGAAAGAAGAAAAAAGGATTCAAACCATAGTTTGGATAAAGAATTGATGGGAACGGATAATGACTTGAATATTGAGTATAAGAGGAAATGTCAAAGACTAAATCCCATTTTATTTTGTTGGAGCTAATTTTTCCACTCGCACTTTCTATGGTATTAACTCTCTGAGTTTCCTTCACATCTGCCTTACTTACTTTCCCTGTATTATACAATCTTCTGTCCTCCTAGGATATTGTATATTGCAAAAGAGCACTGTATTTATAATACTGCATGTCTATATTTTTCAAATTCAGTTGAATCTGTAACAGTAGAGCTATATTAGGAGATAGAAGTCACAATTTGAGCAGGGAAAGTTTAATATAAAAATTATTAACTATGACTAGGGAGCAAATATAAAGGGTAAAGAGAATTCCAAATAATGTCCTAAAGCTGAAAGACCACAACAATGGAATGAGCAAATTCGGAAGGGAGCCCCCTTCCAAAGCTAGGATTCAGACCTTAGTGGAGAAGGTGTAGTTGCATCCAACTGGATGGTGGAGAACTTCACTGGGTTGTCCCAGGCCTGTGTTTTTTCAGTCATGGATTAAACAGTAAATACCTCTGATGGTATATGGACTAAGGTAGCAAAAAGGGAACTATTGAACAAACTGGCAAGTAAGAAATAGGTTTCAGGAGAACAAGTTGGCTGAGACTGGCACAGCTATGAGGGGTACAGGTGTGCAGGAAACTGTGGCAGGGATTGTCAAGCAGAAAATAACTTCCCAGAGTGCAGGTGTATAGGGGCTGGTAGAGTAATGTGTAGAAGGAATCACACCCTGTTCTTGGGCAGGATAGCACAAAGTCTGTGTTGTATACTGTCTGCATGAATGGGCCACCATGAGTTGGTCACCAATCTGCTGGGGTTAGGGACTCAGTCTCACTGAGGGACTGCACACTCTGGGTACCCAGCTGGGGCAGAATATCACTTGATATTCCTCCCCCCAGCCCCATGCTTCTATAGCGAATGCAATAGGAGAAAAAAGAAGTAAAAGAAAGGACCTCATGACCAGAAAGAAATACCTTTTTCTCTTGCAATGTCCTTCTTGAACTCTTTACTATCAAAGTTTAAAGTTGTACTTGCAGGAGGCTGGGCGCGGTGGCTCATGCCTGTAATCCCAGCACTTTGGGAGGCTGAGGTGGGTGGACCATGAGGTCAAGAGATCGAGACCATCCTGGCCAACATGGTGAAACCCCGTCTCTACTAAAAATACAAAAATTAGCTGGGCGTGGTGGCATGCACCTATTGTCCCAGCTACTCAGGAGGCTGAGGCAGGAAAATCGCTTGAACCCGGGAGGCGGAGGTTGCAGTGAGCCAAGATCGCGGCACTGCACTCCAGCCTGGCGACAGAGGGAGACTCCATCTCAAAAGAAAAAAAAGAAAAGAAAAGGAAAAAAAAAAGTTGTACTTGAAGGAAAAGGAAATGCTTACAAGCACAATCCCCATTATTGTCGTGTAGGTGTAGATAACAAAGAGTAGATTAGGAGCTGCGAAGGAATACATTAATAAGTGAAAGAGACACCTCTTTTAGGTACTTTTATATGCGCCCTGCTATATATATTTGAACTTCTGTATGACAACTTTATCACACAACATAAAGAAACAACTTTATCTTTCCACCTAACAAGAAGATATGGCTGTCCTTAGGAATGAAATTGTTTTAGCCATTTCCCCAGATACTAAGTTGCACAGTCATTGTAGCCATTATCCTATTTCATCAGAAAATTCCTGAAACTTCTGTTATCTAAGACTAAATGTCAAAGTTATTCTCCTACAACTTATGTATAAAATAAAAATGTAAAGAGAGAGAGAAAAAGGAACATGGCTAGTTAATAGAATTAAACACATGCAACAAGCAAAGAAAAATATGCAAACATATTATAGTCTTCATTTCTGTAATTGATCACAAAGCTATAATATTTATGGCTTCATTTTTCTGCTCCCCATAACACATTTCCTTTCCTCTCTGCCAGAACCTGAGCTGACAATGAAGCACTAAACGCAATCTCAACCCTCAGAAAATCTTTTGGGTTCCAGATACAGTTTTTCTTGTCTATATTGTATAGTAGCAACACAATTTCCTCTTGATAATTGAGAGCAATTACTCCAGCTAGTCAAATCATTCTTTATTTTATGTATTTATTTATTTATTTTGCCCATTGGTTGAATGGCATAAGGTGATAAGGTGTTCAGAATGATTAGGGCAGTCTTGTCTTCCAATTGAATATGCCAGTTACTTTAAGTTTTTCAGGAAAAGGTACAAGCAGCACTGTGACTCAGGCCACAGCACCCATCAGAATCCATGGTACTTGAGTTTCTGTGCAGAAAAACATTTTGTGTTGAGCCTATGACAAGTCACCATGACAGATTCACAGACTCCCAGGGTTCTAGAGCAAATCCATCCCATCTGCAGCAGATATTCTTTCAAAAGAGGTGCCTGGCATGTTATTGTGCCTAAGTAGCAGTGAGGCATCTGGTGATGATACATCAAGTGATTCTGGTAAAATTGCCCAGCCCATCATAAGTGCCTTCTATAAAACTCACCAAATTTTAAGGCCTAGAGGCCCAGCAGGAATACATTTATGAAACCAAAGTGGTATTTCAGGGATCAGGTTGAAAGGACAGAGTAAACTGTACAAAGAGGTGGTTCAGGCCACAGTGTCATCCGTCTCTAGTACATTAATATGAAATTCCAGCTCACAGCTATGGCCTCAAAGCAAAGAACAGAACATGATATTGGGGAATATTGTTTAGAATCTCAAAGAATGGATGGAATGAAGAGTGTGAGTGGGTTCTGACAGAGATAAGGCTGATAAGAGGAAGAAAAGTCAGTCTTGATAGACCCTGTAAATCTTGTTAAAAAATTTTAAACTTAACCCTAAGGGCCACTATTAAAGGTTTTTAGTCAGGTTAATGACATGAACAATACCAGGTTACAGAAAAATAACTCTGACTTCAGTATAATCAGTAGAGAGAATGTCAAGGCAAGGGAGGGAAGAAATGTCTTTTAGGAGGTTATTATAATGAGGCATGAGCTTCAGACAGTATTCATAACTTCTCCCCTTGGCATATGCATGTGCCTTATACTAAAAATCTACCAAAATACCCTTGGCCCTGCATATCTGTGAGTTCCACAACTTTGGGCTCAACCAACCATAGACAAAAAAGTATTCTGAAAAACAAAAACAATAAAAAATAATGATACAACAATAAAAGTAATCCAAATTTTAAAACAATACAGAAAATAACTGCTTACATGGCATTAACATTTTATTCAATATTATAAGTAATATAGAGATGATATAAAGTACATGGGAGGATATATGCATATTATATGCAAATAAGGGACTTGAGTAACCATTGATGCAATCTAATGTGCACCTTGAAAAACTAGAAAAGCAAGAGCACATCAAACCTAAAATTAGTAGACAAAAACAAATAACAAAATCAGGGCAGAAATAAGTGAAAAAAAAGTAAAGAACACAAAACAAAAGATCAATGAAACAAAAAGTTGGTTGTTTGAAAAGATAAAATTGACAAAACTTTAGCCAGACCATTTAGGAAAAAAAGAGAAATGATTCAAATAAAAAAATCAGAGATGAAAAAGGAGACATGATAATTGACAGTGCAAACATTCAAACAATCATTAGTGGATACTATGACCAACTATATGACAATAAATTGGAAAACCTAGAAGAAATGGACAAATTTCCAGACACATACAACTTACCAAGATAGAACCAGGAAGAAATCCAAAACATGAACAGACCAATTAGAAGTAATGAGATCAAAGGTGTAAGAAAAAGTATCCCAGTACAGAAAAGTTTGGGATGTGATGACTTCACCGCTGAATTCTACCAAACATTTAAAGAAGAACTAATACCAATCCTACTCAAACTATTCCAAAAAATAGAGAAGGAGGGAATACTTCCAAACTCATTCTATGAGGTCAATATTACCCTGATACCAACACCAGACAAAGACACATCAAAAAAAAAAAAAAAGAAAAAAGAAAAAAGAAAAGAAAAGAAAAGAAAACTGCAGGCCAATATCTCTAATGAATATTGATGCAAAAAACCTCAACAAAATACTAAGAAACTGAATTAAAAAATACATTAAAAAGGTGATTCATCATGACTGTTATTTATTACTGTGATGCAAGGATGGTTCAACATATGCAAATCAATCAATGGGATACAGCATATCAATAGAATAAAGGACAAAAACCATAGGATTGTTTTCAAATAGCCACTGCTTTCAAGTTTATTTAGAACCCCAGAGCATATTAGCCCATGGTGGCGAGGCTGACCACTGGTGTGGGTGGTTCCTCTCTGGCTAGGGCTGGTCTAAATGCCCCCTAGTGCATGGGTGTCACCTGAGTTTAGCCCAGTTTTGCTTTCCAGTGTGACAGAGCAGCACTGAGTTCAATGCAGGGTCCCACAGTTGCTGTGGTCTCTCTCCCCAAGCACACAGATTCTCTGTGCTATGCAGCTGCTGCCAGGGGGATGAGAGAGAGCTGGCATCACCAATTCAAGACTGTGTTTCCTACTCTCTTCAATCTTTCTTTTAGTGATAGGAAGTTAAAACCAGGTACTGTGATTGTTCACCTGATTTTTGCCTTTTAAGAAAATGCTTTTTAAACGTAGATAGTGGTTAAATAGGTGTTCCTGCAAGAAGGATGATTGGTGAAAGGGTCTATTCAGCCGTCTTGGTCTGCCTTCCTCTATATTGTTTAAGGATATACTCATATAAGGAGAAACACTAAGGAAAATCAAGGGAATCATAATTTCAGAACACAGGATAGTGTTTAACTATGGAATGTGGGGAATCTATAGAGGTCTTCCAATACATTAAAAACATTCTATTTTTCAAATGTGAGAGAAAATATACACATGCTTATTTTATTAAAGTGTATTTTTAATTTGGATATAGTAAAATTTACTCCTTTTGCCTTTAGTTAAAAAAGACTAATGTTTTGACTAATGCATAGAGTTATGAAACCATTAACACAGCCAAGATGAGATACAGATTTATACCATCCCATCCCTGCAAATTTCCTTGTGCTACCCCTTTGGAGCCATACCCTCCCCTAACTATGAACTCTTGTCAACTGCTGATTTATAATCCATCTCTAGAGTTTCACCTTATATAGAATAAACTTTAAATGAAGTCATAAAACATGTAGCATTTTGATTCTGACTTCTCTCACTTAGCATAATGTAATTGGGATTTACCTATATTGTTGCATGGATCAATAGTAGTTTGTTCCTTTTTAGTGCTAAATAGTATTCCATTGTATGTATGTACCATTGTTGGTTTATCCTAGGTATAGAACAATTTGGAATCTTTCTAGTTATTGCCTCATTTTAGTTTTTTTCTTGATATATTACCCATATACTAAATAATATTTTATATATATTCAATGTATAATAAAAACTAGTCCAAATAAAGCAAATAAAGCAAAGGAAAACTGATTTGAAACATATCAATAATTATAAAATTTGTTCAAATCTAAATGAGGTATTGCATAACATAGTATATGTTGCCATTTTATGGGGGAAAATCTAAGGGATTGAAATCTGTTATAAGCATTTTGTGACTACATTGGTACTTTATTTTCATGGCTTACTGGAGAAAAAATATTATTTTCGACAGTACTATAGATCACATTTGGAAATCCATATGCAAAAACAAAATTACAGCTTAAACCAAACATACAGTTTAACAAAAAATGCATCATATACCTAAATGTAAATTACTTAAGTGTAAAACTTTTAGTAGAAAACATAAGAGAAGATATTCCTGAACTGTACTTAGGCGAAAAGTTCTTAGACATGATGCCAAAATTATAACGCGCACACACGTGCATGCACACACACACACGCACACACACACACACACACACTCTCTCTCTCTGAAAGATAAATTGAACTTCATAAAAATTAAAACTTTTGCTCTGTTAAGAATACTTTCACAAAACTGAGAAGACAAGCTATAGTCTGGAAGAAAATATTTGCACATCACATATATTATAATGAATCGCATCCTAAATGTATAAAGAACTTTCAAGACTCACATTTAAGAAAATAAAATTCTAATTAGAAATAGGCAAAATAATTGAATAGACACTTCACCAAAGAATATAAAGAATATATCTAGATGATTGATAAGATGGTTATCTTCAGCATCATTAGTCAGTAGAGAAGTACAAATTAAATTCATAGGAGACCATGACATACCCATAAAAAGGACAACAATGTATATAGATATCTAGAGAGATAAATAGATAGATAGATATCCGTACTGCAAAGTGCTGGCAGGGATGTGGAACAACTAGAATTCTCATGTATTGTTGTTGGGGGGCAAAATGGTACAACTACTCTGGAAAAGTATTGCCACTTCTTGTGCAGTTATACATATGCTTACCATATAACCCTATGATCCTATTATTGATATTTCTCTAGAGAAATAACTTCTTTTCACTCAAATATCTGTACATGAATGTTTATAGGAATTCTATTTATAATCACTAACAACTGGGAAACAAACCAGCTGACTTTCAATAGATGAATAGACATTTAAACTGTGGTACATTTGTACAATGGAACATTACTCAGTAATAAAATTAAACAAATTTTGATATGAACAACACAAAAATTTGGATGAATCTCAATAGCCTTATGTTGAGTGAAAGGAACAAGTTTCAAAATGTTATATATTATATGATTCTATTTATGTGACATTCTGGAAGTGACAAAACTATAGTGATAGAGAAGAGATCAATGTGAGGGTTTGGACTTGGGAGGAGGATATAATTATGAAGAGGGAGCATAAAGAAGTTTGGGGGTATTGAAATGGTTGCATTTTATGATTGTGGAGATAGTTATATGAATCTATACATGTAATAAAATGTATTAAACAGTACTACTAAACTATCAGTGTTACTGTATAATAATAATTTTTAAATTTTAGTCACGAAATATTATCATGGGGCTGATTTCTGGATCCTTAATTCCTTCTCTTACTGGACTCCTTAAGCACAGTTGCCATTATTGACAAATCCTTCTACCTTTATATTTTGTATTCCTTTGAGTTGAAACATCACACTCTTCTAGTTTTTCTCCCATCTCTTTTCTAAATATACTTTGTAGATTGATGCTCCCATCTGTAATGTTAAATGCCAGAGTTTTTCAGAGTTTAGTCCTATTTTTATTTTCCTTTGCTTCAATGATACCATATTCCCCATGTTTATGTATACCATCAAAAATATAAGTAATTTTCAATTTTCTATGTTGAGCCCAGATTTATTCTTCGTGCCTGACAGAGCTATTCAACACTGTGTTGTTTCACAGGCACTTTCATATGTAGTAAGTCCAAACTGAAGCCATAAGCTTCTCCAACCCCTTCTTGAAAAGGCCTTGTCCTTTCTATTCCATGATGTCCTTCATCTGTGAATCATCCCTCCAACTCTATTGTGCAAGTAAGAACTGATAATTCACTGTTGAAATATCTTTTTATATTACCTCCAATATATAATCCACCAATTATCAATGTTGAATATTTCTCTTAAGTAGCTTCTGAGCTCATCTTTGTATCTCCAGCAGCATGTCATCGCTCACCTCGACTTCTGCCGTGGCTTCTAGAATGACAGTCCTGCAAGCACACTTGCCTGCCTCTAGTCTATTATACCCAAACCCTAGTCGGAGCAATTACTTCAAAATGTCCCCCACTTTAAAATCCTTTACTGGCTACCAATTTCTTAGGTATCTCATTCAATTCAGCCTCCTATAGACTGGGTGGCTTATAAACAAACTGCCATAGACTAGGTGGCTTATAAACAACAGAAATTTATTTCTCGTGTTTCTTGAGGCTGGGGATTTTTAGGCCAAAGTACCAGCAGATACTGTGTTTGTGAGGGCCTGCTTCCTGTTATATATACAGTCATCTTTACGCTGTGTCCTCACGTGGTGGAAGGGGCAAAGAAGCTGTCTGGGATCTCTTTTATGGGGGCACTAATCCCATTAATAAGGGTTCTAACCTCATGACTTAATCACCTTCCCAAAGCCCCACCTCTTAATACCATGACCTTGAAGGTTAAAATTTCAACATATAAATTTCAGAGGGACACAAATATTCAGAGCACAGCATAGGGTAAATATAAAATCTTTTGAGGTCTTACTGTAGTCAGTGCCCATCTTGTTAACTTCCTGTTCACTATGCCCACCATGGTGGCTTCCTCCCATGCCATGTTTTTGCCCTCGCGTGCTTTTCTAGCCAAATCTGCAGTCTTTTTGCACTCTCAAGTCTTCAATTCTCCTCCCTATGTGCCTTAGCACATGCTTTTCCCTTTTCCCCAGATGTCTCATCTTCAGTTTCATTTACCTAGTTAATACCTACTCATTCTTATATCTGAACGAAAATGCCTATTTTTCAGGGATGTTTTCTAAACATATCATTTTCTCATGATGCATGTGTACACACATACATACACTGTCAGGGATGCCTCTTATTTTCTTCATACTGCTTGTAATACTTTTAAATTACACATTTATTTGTGTGATTAGTTAATATATTATAATTTTTCCTTCTGGATTATAAGTTTCAGAAGAGCAAGAGCTGTGACTAGTTTTGCATTTCCCTGTTAAGGCCAAGGCCTGAAAAAATGTTTAGCACACAGTTATTTAGTCAACATCGCACAGATATCCCATTGCTCGTAGTAATGAGACAGTTATTGTGGGGAAGGATTGATCTGACTCAATTTCCGCATTAGAGGAAAGTCACAGCAGCAGTTAATGCTGTTCCCCTTCTCCCAGCCTCTTCCTCAATAGGTAATCTTTGCCAACTGTGTGTTGTGGCTGCCACACGTAGGCTTCTGCACCACAGACTCAACCATGCCATGTCTTAGATCCAGCTCCAACTCCTTGGAGTCTGGTGAACTATTGGTTTTAGCTGGAATAAAATGTTACTTTATGTGTAGTTACTCTCAATGTAATGAGCCCCCTCATGCACTTTTGCATGTTCTTTTCTTTTTCTTGTAAAGAGTGCTGTAAGTTTCTGGCATGTGTGTGAAAGACATCTCCCCTCGTTTCAATCATTCATGCCTATTTGTTCCTATTTTCAGATTTATTTGGGAAGGGAGTTAAAACAACATCACCTCTTCTTGACATCTTGAACTAGGGGTTCAATGTTGTGCATGTGTGTGTTTACATAGGGAGTGAGGTGTGGATGGGAATGGGTTATTGGTTGTGCTATCCCCTAGTCTCCACTTGTTAAAAGTTAAATATAAATGAATTATGATATGAAGATATCACTCTTTAACTCAGCAGATCTTAACTATTTTTGTTTTCATACATACTCGAGTATTTCATAAGTTGCAGAAGCTTACCATGGTATAAAGAGGAAGGAATGTTTTTCCCTCTTCTCAGCCCCTCAGGAGAATCTCTGGTGCATTCAGTGCTTTTACAAAGCCCTAATACCAAACACATGTCCCTCCCTCCTTCAATATCCTTTTTTTCTAATTCAGTGAGCAGCCTTATTATTCCAAGTAGTCCAACACATAATGATATCTGATTAATCTTCAGAAAACACTGCTGTGATCATGTCACTTTCTTGATCAGAAACCATGCCTCTGACTCCCCATTGGCTGGGAGATAGTTCCCAGAATCTTGATATGTTGGTATGTAACTTTTCTTCTCTCTCCAAAACTGAATGTTCACTATCCACAAAACTGCAATTATTTGCTCCGTCTGGAGATTTTCCCTTACCATGTGTCTTGCTTGAATAACCTTACAGTATTTCCGCTAACCCCCTCATTGGCCTTCACTCTCTAAGGCTTACCACCACAGCCTACCCAAATCTGTTCTATGATATCAGACTACAAAATCATGAGTCTTTCTCTCACCATTCCAAAATGAAGTGATATTTCTGTCCTCTGAATGCCTAATGTGCTCACCACATTTTTAGTAATTAATCACTTACTTCAGGTTGCTTCCTATCCTAATGGTGCATTCACTTCCATTTAAATCTATTTCTGATATTTAAGTTTTGTAATTACGGCTTGAGTTCCCAAATGGATAGATTTAAGCATTTTAAGAGCAGGAAATGCTTATATTTCTTGGTATCCTCAAATGCACCCACCGCAGTGCCTTTCCTATTTATTATATGTGCTCATAAATATTTTCATTTTATTTTTCTGAAATTGTTCCAGACTATGCAACTGTGTCCTGCACAATAATTGCTGCTTTTTCAAGATGAGCCATGTCATCTTTCGAGCACAGTATGAAAAGTGTAACTAAATTGAGGCATTAAACAATTATGGCAAAAAGATGAGACAAGTGAAAACTGCAGAGAAAAGATCAGTGAATATAGAACAAAAAGAAAAAAAAGACAGAAAACCAAAAGAGATAATTTATCTTATGTCACCATCTCTTGTCAATCAGCAGAAAATAATTTTTGAAGGAGTTGTTAAGGGGTATAGAAGAGAGTCAAACTTTCTGACCTTAAGGGAAGAAATAAAACAAAAGAATATGGAGACATGGCTTTTGCTTTTAAAGGTTAACCCTAATTTTTAGTCATTAATGGGATGTGGGATCTCTTGGACCAACTCCTGAATTGAAGTTAGTGACGATGCCATCAATCTATCTGTCTGTTACTGGCAAAGGCATTAGGACAAATTCAGCACAAATGAAGAGTAAGACAGATACCCTCTCAAAGGTTGAATTGAATGATAATACTTGGAATTTTCTAGAATTAAGACTTAAAGAAAAAAAATCTCCTTTTGAGTTTTGCATGAATTTGTCCTCACTATATTTTGACATATAATTCTTTTCTCCCTCTTTCTTACCTCTTTGTCTTATAGCTCCTGAGGAACATCGTGCAATTTGATTCAAAAATTATATTGGTCTCCATTACCGAAAAAAAGCACTCAAGTATATTTTCAGAGCAGTCCTTCTAATAGCCTGCTGATGCAAAAAGAAAAAAAAAAGTAGGAACAATACTAAGAATAACCAGCCTATAATATACATATAGAATGATGTATATGGCTAAAAACAGTGTTTTAATATGACAAATTTAAAAAATTCCAACCCATTCCTTGACATTTTCAGTCCTAATGTTCTTTTTCAGTTATAGCAATTTAATCCTTTTAAGCATGCTTTTTTCCCCTTTCCTTTGATTCATTTTAGCTGAATGAATTGAGGCTAGTTTCAAATCATAGCGTAGAATATTAAATGCAAATGTTAGCAGCTGATTAAAAATGGTAGGTTTGTTCAATAAAAATAGAACTTAGCTTAAAAATATAAAGTTGCGATTTTTTTCAAATTATTGATATAGTAACATTTTAATGATTAGCAGCACAGAGAACCTCCTCTCTGAAGGCATATAGAAGCTAAAAGACCTTATTTTTTCCTTTTACGATATTTTGCTTTCTCTTTGTGTGCTCCTCCCAATTTTCCCAAACTCTCTCAACTCCCCCGCCACTGCCAACACACACTCATTACCTAATCTTCATCTTTGTTTTCTCAGCTTGAAAAAGGTACTGGAAAGGAACAGCCAACTCCTTCTTAAGGGTTTGTGAGTGTAGATGGGGCACAACTAAGAACATATCCTTACCCATGTGCATAAATACCTTCAGCCTCAAGAGCCAGTGGTACATTCTAATTCTCTGACACGAATAACAAAACTTCCAATGTACATTGATTCTTCATCTCCACATTCCTGCAGCAGTCCTCCTGACTACTGGCTTGATTCTCTGTGAGCCCCATACTTCCTGGGCTAAATGGATAGTGCATACACACAGCCTTAAAACGGCCACTAGAAATAAATGCAGAAAAGGTTGTAGAGAGACGCTAAAGGGCCCATGAGCTCCATCAGCCATGAGAACCATTAGTTTGCCCTAGGTTTTCCCAGGATATCATTATATAGTAAGTACAACCCATAAAGTCTTATTGATCATCGCATTGCTTTCTTGTGAGCCCTAATTGTCTTCGACAAAAGTGCAGCCTGGCAATCAAATTCCCCAGAGAGATTTGGTGGTATTTTTGAATCTGAAGCTTCAAGGATACTTAATAAAAATATTTATTTTTCTACATTCTAGTTGTTGTTATCTATGTCTTATAAATTGAAAATGGCTCACCTTAATAACTCCCAAGGTTTTTATTTCCTTGACCCTTTTCCCTGTCTCTTTTACCTTGCATGAACTTTATTTTTCATACAGAAATGTGGTATGCAGAACTGCCTGCAGCATTTTCTGCAAACTTCCCCTTTACCTTCCAATGTAAAATGACAAAACTGCAGATTAAAATATAAATAATGGGGGATTGCAATCTTTCCATTATTCCAGAAATGAAATATAATACTTTGAGCATTTCTGAAGTTTGAGAACACTTAAGATCAATCCAGCTATGAGACAGGTAGTATCTATATAGGAAAAAGAAATCATGTGGCTGTGTGAGTACTATTTAGAGGCTATTAAACTACAGTAGTATCCAAATTCTTGAATAAGAGCTAAAATAAAACAAAATTCTTTTGTAATTAAAAAGCAATTTTAATATATTGTAATTGGTAAAGAAGTTTATATTCTCAAAGCAAGAAGGTATATTTCAGAATCTGACATTGAAGGCTATGCCTACATATCAAGACCTACACAAAGGAATCACCTTCGCCTAATTTTAGTCTGTCCTTGACCTTCTCTTAAACTAGCCTTCCTCTAGGTAGCACCTGTCAGAAAGCTTGACTTTGCACTTACTTGACACTCCAATGTGACCTATCTCTACCATCATCTTCCTCTTGAGTTTGTCTGGCATATTCTTTGCCCTCAATTCTTTCTTGCTAACTGTGTATTTGTTGATCATTTTTTAAAGTTTGTATGTAGAAGAAGCACAAGAGAGCATTTCAAATCAACGTAAATTTTTTGGAATGCCCCATATCATAATGATTTTAGAGATGCAAATATTAACTATACATGGTCTCTGCCCTCAAGACATTCAGAACCTGGTGGAAAGGTTACAAAACAAGCAATTACCATACATTGTGCTATGTAAAATAATGGACACATGCACAGGATTCTATGAGAGCACAGAAGAGAGGCTTCTAACTCAGCCTAAAGGACTAAGGAGTAAAAAAAGTAAGAAAAAGAAAAAGGTTTTCTTGAGTTCTGTTTTGAATAACAATTCAGAGTTAGGCATGTGGAAGACAAAATGTATTTCTTCTGGGCAGAGAAAGTGGCATAAGGAATAATTAGAGAGACAACAAACACGATGCAGTTGAGTTGGTCAGGAAATACAAGTAGCTGGAACAATAGAACAATTCTCTTTTTTCTTTTTTTTTTTTTTCAGAGACAGGGTCTCACTTTGTCACCCAGGCTGGAGTGTAGTGGTGCAATCATAGCCCACTGCAATCTTGAACTACTGGGTTTAAGCAATCTTTCCACCTTAGCCTCCAAAGTCCCTGGGATTACAGGTGTTTGCCATCATGCCTGGTAAATTAAAAAAAAAAAAATGTATAGACAAGGTCTCACTATGTTGTCTAGGCTAGTCTTAAGCTCCTGGGCCAGCACCATCAGCATCCTGAGAAATTGTTAGAAATACTACTAAACCACATCTCATTGCTACTTAGTAGGCTTAGAAATCTGTGTTTGAACAAGCTCTCCAAGTGATTCGGACATGCACAGTGTTTTATATCATGATCAGAATACCAAGCTTCACCCTACTTATCACAAGGTACCACTGAGTGATTTTACTAATGAGTATTCCATAACTAGATTTGATGTTTCAAGAGAAAATTTTGGTGGCATTACAAAAAAAGATGTTATTATCTTCAGATTATTTTCAGTTTGATAATCTTAAAAGGTAAACATTTCTCTGAATAGAGATTTTTATTCATGAACATCCAACTTGAGCCTCTCCCCAGAAGCTATTGCTTAGATGCAGTGAAATCTTGCTGCTCCTGCTTATCATTTTTGTTAGAAAAATTCAAAGAGCAAATGAATATAAGCTAAAACTTTGCCCAAATGTTTATGTGTTAACAACACAATATACAAAATTTATCTGCCATTTAAAATAATATGTAAAATTTATCTGAACTAGTGAGATAGACTTTGAAGCATTTTTTCATACCAGTTAAAACAGGATATTTTCACCAGGTAATTTTAAATAATAAAATTTCTGCAATGACTTTCTATGTGATACAGTTTTATTGTTTTGGTTTTGTTTGGAGATTGTTTAAATACTGAAATATGGTCAATTTAGATTGTTGAAGTTTATCTGCAGATAAAAATAGTAAATTTTACCATAAGGTAAGCGGTGGAAGAAAAAAAATAACACATTCTTTTACATCAATATTAAAGAGCAAGAAAGTTTTGTTTTAGTATTTTTTTATAGATAAAAATGCATATTTAATGTGAGAGGCTTTATTTAAGTGAATTCTTAATCCTTTGTTAGTGTTCAATGAAAAGTTCCCATTTTATAAATTTCCTTCACATAGTTTAAGTCTGTCTGTTTATCCTAAATGTATCTGTGACTAATATAAATGAGATTTTCATCTCTATTAATCAACATTTCAATACCAGTAATTACTTGGTCAGCCCTTTCTTTGACTTACATTTTTGCTGCTGTGGTAGAAATCAAGCACACTGGAAAATGAAAATGAATAATAACTGACATCAAGCCAGCTCCGTGAGTTTGTACAAAATTGTATTTCCTAAAAGTCACTTTCAGATACTAGTCTGTTGCACGCAACAAAACGGTTCACATTTCCATGCTTACTCTGAAACTGACCTTAGGCTGCTGTCTTAATTGAGGTACCTAGGAGTACCATTCTTAAATCAGCTTAAACCATTCAAATTGAATAATTTATGAAGTGACTTCTTTATGGAATTCAATTTTCTATTTTGGTCTTTGGTTATTTAATATATATAACAAGCCAAAAAACAATGTTTGTTAAAATCTTCTATAATTACTTATAATTGCATTAATATACTTAAATATAATGGGTTTTTTCAGAAACTTTGCTATTTCCAGTATTCTCTTGAAAAACTATTATTCACATTTATACTCACAATTACTCAACTTTTTTCATTATAATTCACAATAAGAAGTTCTATTTCAATCTGTGTATAGAACAGAACCAGTGGGAAAATTGCAATGCAATGTTGTTTTATGTTTTAAAGAGCATAATGATAATAATAGTATACAAACATTAGTAGAGTGCTTTATACACATTATCTCATTTCATCCTCACAATTGTACAAATGTATAAATATCATTCTACTTTATAAATAAAATCACTATGGCTGTGATAATTTAGTCTGTTTGCTCATAGTCCTATTGGTAATAGGAGGGAAATTTCAGACTTAACTCAGATTTTCAATTTCCTAGACCCATGTTCACCTCATTCTGCAACAATTCAATATAGCATAATTCAATTGTTGTAATTGTCTATTGGAAAGTAACATTTAATAAAACTTTCAACCAGATGTTTCCAATGTATTAGCAGCATGTTTGTGAAGTTTTGCTATAGGGGTGTCAGCATTGTATTGAAGTGATTGGATGTCATTTTTTAGACAGCTGTACATTTCCAAGAACAATTCTGGGCATGAACGACCTGATTTGGAGAGCCTTCTAGTCTTACCCTTCCATCTAATACAATTGATGAAACATGGAAATACATTATGAAGTCATATTCCTTAATTCTTAGGGCTCATTAACTCCTATAGCTGGGTTAAAAGTAACATAAAAATGTATGATTGTCAACACATTATATAAGAAAAAATACTTTGAAATAATTCTCCTGTCATCTCTTATTTCATCTGTATTTTGCTCTCCCAATTTATACACACACACACACATATACAAGCCCATGTACCTCTTTCTCTTTCTTTATGCACACACAGATATATACATATTATATATACACACACATATATATCTATATAGATATCGATAGATAGATAGATAGATAGATAGATAGATAGATAGATAGATAGATAGGACTTACTTAGTCCTACAGCATACTTGTTTACTTCTGCTTACAAAAACAAGCAGCAAAATTTTGGAGTGAAATGACCCTGGAATAATTCTTAAACCATGCTTACATATTAGTGATTTAATTTTTGGTAAGTTAACAGTACTCTGTTTACTCGTTTATAAGGCTGAGGCAATAATACCTTCCTACGGTATTGTGAAAGTTGGCAAAATGCTATACATTTGAAACTAATATGGCATCTCTTAAATGGTAGGCAATCAATAGATGGTAGTCATAATGGAGCAGCTAATATTATTTTATTACAATTATTGAAAATACAATATTTTGAAATGACTTTGTTGGATTAATTCCTCTTTGCCACAGAGCAGTCTAACGTGACTTTGTGCTGTCCTTGTCACATACCTAGCCTCTCACCTGCCCATCCTCGAGTCATGCCCGGTGGAAAGCTATGCTAATGTTCCAGTTCATTTGAAAAGTGGGCTGCAGCAGGAGGAACAGAATGATGGAGAGGAGACTAAGCACAGATTTATATCTGCAGTGCCAACACCTTAGGGCCATCCTAAGGAGCTTTTCTACTGAGTCTGGAATGTGCAGTTGGCATGGTAATATGAAAAGGTAGTGAGTGAGGTTTGTCAGAGAGAAAAGGGCTACAAATCAGCAGGTCAAGTTTTCCCAGCATGTTTCAAAGAAACTTAAAGAAGAGATGGCCATGCTTACTTGCCCTTGTCTAGATGGGGACTGAAATCATACGCGGTATAGCTGGTATAAAAGAACAGTGAACAAACTATAGTGACGCTTAATAGAGAGTATATAAGGGATATATACATTATAGCAGTTAATGCTGAAGCAATATGTTCAAAAAGAAGAATTCATGCTGATTACTTACCCATAAATCATAAACAGGTTTAGGCCTAGCCTAGAGCATGGGGAACTGGGGGTACAGGAGGACAGAAATAGTAATTAGCAACAAGGTTGTCAGTAGCAAAGTTAAAAAAATAAAGTAACATTAAAAGTGGTAGAGCTAAGAAGAGTTATTTGGGGGGGGTGTTGGGGGAGTCTCTTACGCTATGAAAATGAGCCTGTAGTATTTCAGGCACAGTGGCTCATGCCTGTAATCCCAGCACTTTGGGAGGCTGAGGTGGGTGGATCACCTGAGGTCAGGAGTTCGAGACCAGCCTGACCAACAAGGAGATACCCCGTCTCTACTAAAAATACAAAATTAGCCAAGGGTGGTGGCTCATGCCTGTAATCCCAGCTACTCGGGAGGCTGAGGCAAGAGAATTGCTTGAACCTGGGAGGCGGAGGTTGCGGTGAGCTGATATCATGCCATTGCACTCCAGCCTGGGCAACAAGAGCGAAACTCTGTCTCTATGGTCTGTTTTGTCTTAAGCAGAGCACTTGCATAAAACAAGTGACTCTTGCTCAGTAGTTTTATGACTAGCCACTTCAAATTCATAGGGAGCAAGATAAGCAAATAACAGAAGATTCCTGAATATTTCCCAAAGGATTCTCTCTCTAGGTAGCCATAGGTATACAAGGCACCACTCAGGACAGACACTGACTTACCTTCTCTGGTATTAGAAGCAGCAGCAGCAATAGTTTCCACAGAATATAAAAAACATATTTAGGATATATATAGTCGTAGCAAGTATTTCCCATATTTCTGTCCTACATTTTAAACATTCTTTCTAATATTTCATTCTGTCATCCCTTCAGTAGCAAAATAATCATATCTGCAGGCTAACTCAGAATAAGTTATAAAATCATTGTGATGGCATTTGCCATTGGGGTTACATTTCAGGGGGCTGTGCTATATTGTGAGTGAAATTGGTATTTGGACATTTTTTTATAGTCTCAGGTTTATAAACAAACTATTTACTCATACCCCTCTTGTACCTGGGGAACAAACAAAGCGCTGTTTTTCTCTGCCCTTCATTAGTTAGTGCCTCTGAAGGACTAACAATGTCCTTCAGCACATTTGATGTAATTGTGATTTTTATATGTAGGCTATTGTGACAATGTGACACTCTCTGCATACCAGTGTCCAACTCCAGGAAGTGTTTTGAATAGCTATCATAATAATTGGTCATTAGTTCTTCATTGTTAGTAACACTTTCTCATGCATCATCTCATTTAATTGATAAAATAAATGCCTAGTATAGGCAGGGCAGATCTCTACATCCTCATTTGTGAGATGAGAAAATATAGTTTTAGAGAATGTAACTAATTTGCTCAAAATTACACAGCTTGTGAGTGATAGAATTGAAACAATTACTTAGATATTCTCTGTTCTATTTTAGCAGTCTTTCTGATTGTTTATTGCCACTCACTACTATGCTAATTTTTACACAATGTACAAAATAAAATATTTCACTTAAAGTCCTAACCAGTTTAGAGGTTACAGTGAAGCCATGAAAGTCAGATTTGCAAAGGATAAAGTGCTAATTGTCTGATTCAGTTAACGCAAGCAAAAAGAGTTCATTTATTAATAAATATATGTTGTTTAATAAGCTATATGGAGTCATTAAAATGAGGTTATATTACAGGAAGTCTTGGAAAATAAGAAAGAAAATTTGAATGAAACAGAAGAAGTGGGGGAGGAGAGAAAGAAGGGAGATGAAATAGTGGAAGGAAAGAAAGAAAATAATTGCTGAGTATTTACTGTGTGATAAGTAGTTTTGCATACAATATCGCGTATAGTATGGAGAGTTACAGTCAGCAAGGACTAGTTTAGGCAGAGAGATTAGGGGACCTTCCAGGCAAGTAAGTTATAATTGGCCTGACATAGTGGTGGCTATGGGTGAGACACCTGTGTAATTCATTAAAGAGATTGCTTTAATGGGATAGAGAACTTATGATAACAATTAGGAGGAAATACGATTGCATTAATTAATGTAAAGTTGTACTTGATAAGTTTCTCAAAATTTAGAAAAAAGAATTATCTACTGGATTAAACATATTTTCTTCTCATCTGCTCAGTGTTTATTTTCCCTTCCTCTACTATCATTACTTTAATGTAAGAGTGGAAAATAACCCCTTTCTTACTATTTACATTGTTAGAGTGAAATTCACCATATTCCCCATTCTGCTCTAAGAACTATATATGTAACCTGGTCCTGGCCTCTTTAAAGGATGGTTTCATGCCCCAAGCTATGTAAGTGGGAATCTGGTCTGAGACTTTTCCTTAATTTGATAAAAGCAGGGAGTTCTTCTTACAAGGGTTGTTAAACTGGTATAATGTTAGACATGGATTAATTCTAAACATATTTGTCATTTTATGGTGAAATTATTCCTTAGAAAGAAGTCAAAACATAAGATAGCTGAAAATAGAAGTGAAAGGACACAGTTTAGTGATGTTGTGATTTGAGCACATGGATAAAGCTGTACCCTGAGTCAGATGCCCTGGACTCTTCAGTTTTGTGAATTGATGAATGTTAAACCTTCACTTACATAACAACAACAAAAAACACAAAACACTGAGTTTCAGATTATAGCCAAATGGTTTAGACTAATACAAGTTCCGATTTAATGTTTTAAAGTACATAACAGAAAGTATATGTGGGTTTTTATGGGTTGGAATAATTGATGAAAACATTGTGGTGTTTCTTTTCTTGGTAGTTTGCAAAATGTATCTGAGTAGATAAGCTAACATTATTGAAACATTTTATAGTAGATCTGATGAAACCATGGATATTTGGAATAAAATAAAGAGGTAAGGTTGGATCTGAATAATGTTTAGTGATGAACTTGTTATGAAGTTACAGAGAAAAAAAAATTTGAAGATTTGGAAGAATGATGTTACACTGAAAGATGAGGGGAAATTGAGAAATAGGGTTGAATCATTTTGGTAAGCAATATCCCTAAATTCCTTTAAAATGTATAAATTATCTATAGAAAATTATGCCTAGCCCAACTATAAGTTTTTAGTGCCCAGAATTCAAAATACTTCATGAATTGCATCTATCTCCTTTTGTTGTACAGCTTTTTGTTCCCTACAAAATAATATAGATCAAACAAATCAGTCAATTGAAATTTTCTTCTTTTCTTTTTTTAATCCTTTAAAAATTGGTGTAGTATTTGCCACAAGAAATACACGTAAGTTACATGTAACTTTTCAATCAGAAACTTATAAAATCAAACTTTGAAACCATCATCCAACTTGAAAAATAGACCTTTTCCAGTCTCATAGCAATACACTCTTTGCCCTCTCAGATCCTCTCCTGTAATACCCCTCCTTCACTTTTCCACACAGATAACCACCACTTTGTGCTTCACCATATGTTCAGAACCTTAGATATGCCTGTTGGGTCATTTACTTCCGGTTGAGGTACTTACATCTTTAGTAGTAAGGAAGCATAGTAAGTTATCTCACCTTTTGTTTATCTGGCAATTTCTTATTTAGCCATAGTACTTGAAAGATCTTTGGGTGTTCAATTCTTAGCTGACAATTACCATGTCCTAACAATTTGAATGTATTTTGTCCCTTGTATCTAGCTTACATGGTTTACATGGTAGAGCTCATAGTCAGGCTAAATTTCTTTCATCAATTTGCAGACAATCTACTTTTCTGGATGCTTTAAAAATGCTGTTATCTCACTTTGCGTTTTACCCAGCTTTTAATTCCACCTGTAGTTACATTTGATATTTTTTCAAATAAATGATTTAGCCAATTTTTCTCTAATTATCTAAGTTAACAGAAAAACAAATCACTCAATTTATAAATTTAGAAAAGAGAGCTTTATTGCTTAAGAAGGGGATTATCACCTGCAGGTGGGAAGCACATCCTCCAGCTGAGAATTGAAAGCAAGCTCTTAGAGGGAGGAAGGGATAAAACAGGAATTTATGGTGAATGAGTTGGGCAAGTATACATACTCAAGAGGATACAGGAGGAACTATGAATATTTATAAATGGGAAGTCTCAGGCATGGGTCATAAGCAAACATGCTAACATGTATCCAATGCTCGCTTTGAGGTGGAGACTTAACATTTAAATATATTACAGTTGGACCCTATACATTAAAAGGTGAAGCAGGGATATGAGTGAAGGCACTCGGATGCATAGCCTCTGTAAATTAGCCACAATCAGTTCATGGTTGGTGGTCTCTTACCAAGAGAAAGTTACAGAAATCAGTCTGTTGTCAATCAAAGCTATATAGTTATGGCTTGTGGAACAGGGAGCCTCAGTTAGTGTCTGGTGGTTGGCATTCTGCAACTGTTCAATGTTACTTATCTCAAGGGCAATGATTGTTTAGCTGCTAGAGAAAAAGGAGAAAATAACAAAATCCTGGTGGTAATTAGAACATAGTTTATTCTAAGTGTAGGGATGTGTGACTTAACTCTTGCCTAGCATGACTTTAGATGTTGTTTATAATTTGGTATCTTATAGTTATAAAAAGCCCATTCTGTCAGTCTTATGGTCTGCATTTTAACTTTAATGCTGGTCAGTTGTATCTAAACTGCAAAAGAGCGGGAGCATAACAAGGCATCTGACGTCTTATCCGGTCATGGCAGGGAACTCAGTTTTGACCAAGGAGTGTGTCTGTTTACTGAGTTGAGGGGCTTAGGATTTTATTTTTAGTTATCCATTAACAAAGTTAGTTTTTGATTCTTTTATGGCAGATGTTCATTTTTCCCTCTCCTACTTCCCATTCTCCACAATGATAATAGTTTAATTTTAATTACATATATAATATTATATAATGTTGCACATACTACATTATATATATTATCTATATATGAGTATGTATGTACACATAATCCTCAACTTATGATGGAGTTATGACTGCATAAACTCATTATAAATTGAAAGTATCATCCAGAGTTGAGGTCAAGGAGTGTAATGAATATATGTTTTTTCAAACCATCCTAAAGTCAAAAATTACGTGTCAAACCATCTGTATTAGTCTGTTTCCACACCACTATAAAGAATGACCTGACTACTATAAAGAACAACCTGAGACTGGGTAATAAGAGGTTTAATTGACTCACAGTTCTGCATGGGTTGGGAGGCCTCAGGAAACTTACAAACATGGTGGAAGGTGAAGGGGAAACAAAGCATGTCATATGTCGTGGCAGGAGAGACAGAGAGTCAGGGAGGGACTGCTACATACTTTTAAACCATCAGATCTCATGGGAACTCACTAACTCAAGAACAGCATGGGGAAAACCACCCCCATGATCCAATCACCTCCCACTAGGTCCCTCCCCTGACACCTGGGGATTACAATTCAACATGAGATTTGAGTGAGGCACAGAGCAAAACCATATTACCATAATAAGTCGGGGACATCTGTATATGAATATACATAATTAATTTTAGCTTGTGCATCAAATTCTTATTCCATATTATGTTTATTAAGCATGTAATATTTCAGCTTTCTCCATTATTTATTTAATTCTGTAATTTTACCATTTCTATATTTTTTGTTTTAATTCATGTTTCAGTTGGCTGAAATTGTTATTGGAGGTATGTTTTCAAGAAAGATAGGTATATTTTTCTCTGCTTTCATCTATTTCTGGTAACTTATCTGAGTATAGAATTTTTGTCAAGAACCTTCCTGAAAAACATCAATAATGCTCAATCACCTTTTGGAATTTAGTGAAGCAGAGTAGAAGTGTGAGGCTGTTGTTTATAGATAAACTTTTATTTCTGCCTTGATGAATATGAATTTTTACACTTGAAATTAGACTGCATAATGGGAGATTGTGCAGAAATTAGGAAGATAAACTAATTTTATTTTAAAATAAAATAATAAACTAATTTTATTTTAAAATAAAATAATAAACTAATTTTATTTTAAAATAAAATAATAAACTAATTTTATTTTAAAATAAAATAATAAACTAATTTTATTTTAAAATAAAATAATAAACTAATTTTATTTTAAAATAAAATAATAAACTAATTTTATTTTAAAATAAAATAATAAACTAATTTTATTTTAAAATAAAATAATAAACTAATTTTATTTTAAAATAAAATAATAAACTAATTTTATTTTAAAATAAAATAATAAACTAATTTTATTTTAAAATAAAATAATAAACTAATTTTATTTTAAAATAAAATAATAAACTAATTTTATTTTAAAATAAAATAATAAACTAATTTTATTTTAAAATAAAATAATTTTATTTTAGATCGTGGAAAGAGTTTAGATCATGGCAGAGTTTAGATCATGGAAAACCTAATGTACCATGCCAAAGATATGGGATATTTTTCCTTTAGATGATGAGGCTTTATTATTTTTATTGTTGTTATGACCATCATTCACAGAATTATTATTACCAGAGTACCATTATATGTAGGAGTTTCCCCGGTTTGCCATGCTGTCTACATTAGTTAGTTCTTGCTACATAACAAATCGCATTAGTTTTGTTAAAACTACATTCACACATTTATTTAGCTAATGAATCCACAGGTCAGAAATTTGGGTTAATCTCAGCAGGGTGGTTGTTTTAATTTGGTCTAGAATTGGCTAATCTCAGCTTTACTCATTCAAGTTTCTGCAGTAAGCTGGTAGGTCAACAATGACTAAGTAATTTCTAATGGCCTCAGATATGACAGCTGGGATAACTGGGGCTTCTCTCTCGGTGGCCTGTCGTCATCTACAAGGACAGATGGAGCTTGTTTACCTGGTGACAAGAGTTTACAGACTTTAAAAGCAGCAAGAGGGCAAGTTCCAATTTACAAGTATGCTTCAAGTCCATTTAAATCATCTTCGCTACTGTTCCCATTGCCCAAAGAAAATCACAGGGCGAAGCCCAGAGTCAGTGTGCACAAGCACTTCCAAGGATCGTGGGTACTGGGAAGCATGAACAAATTAGGGCCATACTGCATCATTGCACCCCACTGCCCTGCACGAACTCCAAAACACCAGAATACCTGGCAGCAAAATTCCTTAAGGAAGGGTAAGTGTGGGTAACCAGTATCCATCTAAGCCTGCTCTGGTGCTCTGCTTCAATTCTTACCTCAGGAAGTCTCCTGACAAAAGATCAGTTCTTGATCTGGACTCTTGTCACACTGATGAAAGTGGAAGTTCCTATTATTATTTATGTATTTGTAGAAACATTTAATATATAAGCAAGTTTAAAACAAATGAAAATTTCTTAAATTCTTTATTCAATATATTTATACCAGTTTTTTTATTTCAAATGTTTCATTTGATGAAGTTTGAAAATACTAGGATTACTATCTTAGAACTTCATTACATATTGATTCATTACATAATTGATTTTTTACATTTAGGACCAAAAAAAAGAAATCATGATGGGAAGTAATGTTAATAGTAATAACAATTTTAGCCTGCCTCCTGTATGCTGGAACCATCTTCCTCCATAAGGAGATTGAATGAGGTATCAGAGTGCACAATTCAAGATGTCAGGCTTTTTGGTACAAATACGTATTATTTCAACTATATAATTTAATTTCATACTAATACGTAGTTAATAAAATATATATTTAAAGTTTCTGTCATTTGAATAATTGGTTCTGATGGTTCTATTGTTTTTCAAGATTAAGAAATAAAATATTATTCTTAAATATCTGTAGGTGGGAAAGATCTAATTTAAATTAAAGGCAAAACAATATTATTCTTTAAATACACATGTTAAATTCTCCCTACCTTTAAAATGCCCTTTGGGTAACCTTATAAAAGGTTTATTTGTACACTGACCAAGAAGTTCTTGGCTTTTGCTTCAGTGATGTGTTTCTAAACCCTGACTTAAAAGTTAGTCTTTTATAACTACATGATTTCTGTTTAAATGACTTGTGTAAAACAAGTATGTGCAAAATTGAAATGAGTTTTTCCATTGCCTTATATCCTCTTGAAAAGAAAATTAGCCTAATGAGTCAGAATTAGTACAAGATGTTTCAGAACATCTGTAATACTATACAGTGTGGGGACCTGGGTCCCAGCTCCTCAGGCAGATGCTCTTAGGGTAGGGAGCTGTTCTCTCTTTACTATCTTTTGCACAGATTACCTCGGAGGCTTTTAACATTCGGTCTTTCTCTTTCTCTTTCCTTTTCCCTTGTGCTCCTAATAATTTACTGTGGATATTTTCAGCATGACACACAACTGCTGCTGATGATAATGAAAACTGTTCACCTAATTTCTCCCTGCCCTACACTCAGAACGAACTGTCTAGAGTCAAACTATGCAGCAGAAAACTTAGCAGGAGGCAGTAACTGGCAGAATGATGACATAGGTAAGAGACAGGGTCGATGGGCACAAGCAAAATGTGATTAGCACAGTGTGTGTTGGTCAGGCCTCAGGGAAGGGAATGTTACTTCACCCTCTCCTAGCTTTGCTGCTTGGGACCAGGTGGCTATTGGGTAAGGCCCAACATCCAAAATGGGTCCAGGCCTCCCGAAAGCAAACCTTCTTAATTAGTTATAGTTGATTGACTCAAATGAGCCAGAAGGTTAGATCAGGCTTCCTGCTTTGAATTTTGTGTTTTCCGTTGGAGGCACAATAGATTATAATCTTGGAATGCAATTTCTTAGGGCCCTTGTGAATATCAACAGTCTGTTGCATTAGCTCTTGTCAACCAAATTGGAAGTTAATTAACTTCGCAATAAGAGTTTAAGAAATGTCTGCATTTAAAGATATAGGATAATTTTGTGGCATAATATATGTGAACATTTACTGTGACCACAGCAACAAAACACAGTGAGCAGATTTCAAGGCAAATAAAAGAAAATGTCTCTGTTCTCAAGGTATTTTGGTTCATGTCTGATAGCTTTACAGGCAGCCTTTTCAATGGAGTAAGTAAAAAGTAAAGACCTGCGATAATGTGGCAAGGCTTTTACAATACAAAAATAGTGAGATGAAGATTCCACAAAGTATTACAATGTCATAGAGCTAAACACATTACATGTCTTTGTGTTACATTAAATTATACAATTAAGTCACATTCTAGTTCACTATACAGCAGTTTCTATTTATTAGAAAAGGGAAAAAAATTCAGAAAGACAATTACAGAAAAAGTAATTTATTTTACAGTTTTATTTCTAACAAAAACAAGACTTTAAAAACTTAACTCAAAAATCTTTCCTACTGATCTACTAGTATTTCTTCCATACCTCCCATTCTCTTAAATAATATCACCATTAATAAGTTGTCTAAATCAGGGACCTTAATGTTATAGTTGATATCTTCTTTATCCTTTCATCGCATGTCAATAAAAAACCATGTTACCATTCTAGTCAGGCCTGTACCTCCAAATTCCTGTAGCAACTACCTCCTCTCTCCAGCCCACCATCCGATTTTCAGCCCCCATCATGTGTTACGTGAATGATTGATATGGCCTCTCTACATTCAACCTCTTGACATCCCAGTCCATCTTCTGTCTACTCTGCTGCCACGATGGCTTTTTAAAAATTTTCAGGTGAATTTCCATTATTTATGGGAAAAAAGTCTACACATTAAATCATGGTATATGAGAAACAATGGTAGCTTATGACAATGCTCTGATGGAGATATTTTAATACAATTTATTCAAGATTAGAAAAGTTAATTACCTTTTCAAGGACACACAATAAATAAGAGAAGAGCTGGTATTTGTTTAGCTCCATCTGCCCGACTGTGCAAAGTGTCTCTTCAGAGCAAGCCTCTGGCCTACCTTTCCTGTCTCATCCCAGTCACCACCAGACATACCCTTTCCGCTGGTATCATACCGGAATCTTACTGTCTCTCTGTATGGCCCATACATCTTTTTAACCTGTCCCATCCCTACTGATATTTTAAAAGTGATATCAAGTGTATCTTCATTTCCTCAGTTTCCTATGAAACTCTCTCCCAAGGAAAACTATTTAATTATGCATTTTCATTTTCAAAATATTTGATTCTTGCTGTTAGCCTCCTACATTGTAGAACCAACAAGGGGACATTGAGTTTTTCCCGTTGCAATATTTCTCTGATAAACTCTGTGTTGTCAAATCTTTCCCTCTGGCCACAGCCAGGAATGACTCTCCACTTTTAAGGAATATTTCTTATATCTGCCTATTGAGCAGTTTTCAGATTATATTAGAGCTATTTGATTATGTATTCATCTCAACCATTAGACTACATGTCCTTTGAGACCCGAGGCGATATGTTACTCATTTTCTAATATTCATTGTGTCTGATATAATTCATATTTCATAGTATGACTTCAATAAATGTACATTGAATTAAATTGATATTTCTAAGAATTTACAATGATTACTTTCAAAATGTCTTATGGAAGAAGACTGAGAAAGAAATTCCCTGTGAATTGCATGTAGTAATTTTGTTTTGCTTTTCTTTGTAGAGTCCTTAGCAAATACAAACATAAATATATTTAATATTGATGTACAGGGACACAAATATCCCTACATTATACATATATATGTATATGTATACACAGGTAAAAATACATTGTGGATATACATATTATATGCATATACATATTATTTATATATACAAATCTATTCTTATTCAAGATAATTTATCAAATAGATTACTGTTAACATGAATAGTTTATTTTCCTGTTTGACATCTGCTACTTAACCAGGAATATTAGTTTTTAGAGTTATTCCAAATAAACTGGTAATCATCCATTGATTTTAAAAGCAAATCATCCATTTGCTTTTCAAAAGACAAAAAAGCCTTGTAACTAAGTAGAAAATAAATCCTATGAAGTTTGACTACAAGAAATATAGTTTTGTTTGACCTATTTACTATTGATTAGGACCCACATTCTACATCTATATATTAATTTATAATTCATTGATAGGTAGCAAATAATTTCCATTTACGAAAGATTAAGTAAATTTTCTCCACTAGAAGAGATAAATCCAAATGATACAGTGTAATTGCCTTGTAATGCATTAACTTGTTTTGTATCTATCCATGTAAATTTGTTTCAGCATTATTTTTGTCTCATTGATTTTATATGAGTCTCTATTTCCCTCTGAATTAGTTCTACTATTGGGCTATTTAGCTTATTAATAAGTGTGGTATGCAGAATAATGCTCCTCCCACAAATGTTCACACTCTATTCCCTGTAATTTGCGAATACATTATTACATGGAAAAAGGGACTTTGCAGATGTGTTTATATAATTATAGAATTTAAGATATGAGATTATCCTGGATAAAACAGGTAGGTCCAAGCTAACCACATGAGTCCCTAAAAGCAGAGAACCATTCCTAGCTGTAGTCCGTGAGAAAGATTTGACAGCAGACAGTGTGTCAGAGAAATACTGCCATGGGAAGGACTCAATGCTCCCTTGCTGGTTCTGAGATATAGGGAGCTAAGAACAATAACCAAAGAGAAACCTCATGGTGTAAATGGTGGCCTCTACTTAACAGCCAATAGCAACAGAAAATCCCCAGGACCTCAGTACTACCACTAAGGGAAACCGAATTCTGCCAGCAGCCCAAAAGAATAGGAAATGGATCTTCCCCTAGAATCTCCAGAAAAGAATGCAGCTTTGCTGACTTTGTGATTTTATCCATGTGAGACCCATGTTGGACTTCTGTCCTACAGAGATGTCAGATAATTAGTTTGAGTTGTTTTAAGCCACTAAATTTGTGGTAATCTATTACAGCAGCAAGAGAAAACTAATACAAAGAGTTTAAAAATTTTTGTATTTGTGTGAGCGTTCCACTTTTTAACTCTTTGAGAATGACACTTTGACAATTTTGAAGTCTCCTCAAGCATTCATGCCTACTTTGAAACTGACTTAAGTGAAACTCTGGAATTATAGATTGAGAAACGCTATTTACGCTCCTTTGTTATTTAGCTTAGAAATTAATGAGCTTCTTAGAGAAAACTCTTCTACTGCTATGAGCAAACATGCTCTGTTTTGAGGATCTTCCAGAATGGGACCTCTTCCCGAGACCTGGCTGGTCAGAGAGTGTGTAGAGTCATTCAGAACCCATAAAATAATCCTTAAACACTCTCGTTTCATAAGCACTGGGGGCAAAAAAAGACCCTTCAGTCTGATAAGACATTATAACCATTACATAAGAAAATTTCCCAAGCTGTGAGAAATTTGGTAAGTTATCGGAGATCCATTTACAAAACAAAGAATTCCATTTCTGAGACAGAAGGATGGCAGTAGCTACAAGTGTTGGTATGATCCTAAAAGGCAATTAGGAGTGATCTCCTTTGAGGACTTTTTCCTCCACTCCGTGGAAAAGCATTTTATTATCTTACATAAGTAACTGAATATGAGTTACAGAAGGATAATACTTCTTTCATTATTTTATTATAATTTGCTGAAGACTCATGAAAATTAGCCAGTGTTTATAAAAATGGCTTACTGATTAAAAGCATATAATTTCAACCAGCTTTTGATCCTTAAGATAAAAAAATACTCTTAGAAGATTTGGAAAATTCCTCAAAAGTAGGCAGCTGTTTACACTATTTTGTTCACTACACTCTCCTTTTAGTACATGAGCTAAATATTTACTAAAAAATTCCAGTTCACCTAATTAATCTAGAATCAAATTATAATTTTTAATTGTATATCTTGTAGAGATACATCTTTTATCAAGTGTTTCCATTATGTATAAGACTGTTTTTCTGAGGGACAGAAGATAAACACACACACACACACACACACACACACGTGTGCTTATGTTAATCTACACTGCCTTGTGGCAGAAACAATGAAATGTATATTAATAAAGGAATTATTAATGATTTACACATTTGGGCAACTGCATAAAATTCTTAATGAAGAGATGTATGTGAGCATAATTATATAAATGTTTTCTATCTGATGTTTATGTCATGGTTTAGCAATTAGTGAAATTTGTAAGTTGTTTGAGCATTACTTCATAGACCATCTAGGAAATTCTTTTAACCTAAGTAATTTAGAAAAAGGAATTCAGCCGGGTGCGGTGGCTCACGCCTGTAATCCCAGCACTTTGGGAGGCCAAGGCAGGTGGGTCACGAGGTCAGGAGAGTGAGACCATCCTGGCTAACGTGGTGAAATCCCGTCTCTACTAAAAATACAAAAAATTAGCCAGGCGTGGTGGCGGGCGCCTGTAGTCCCAGCTACTCGGGAGGCTGAGGCAGGAGAATGGCCGTGAACACGGGAGGTGGAGCGTGCAGTGAGCCGAGATGGCTCCACTGCGCTCCAGCCTGGGCCACAGAGTGAGACTCCGTCTCAAACGAAAAAAAAAAAAAAAAAAAAAAAAGAAAAGAAAAGAAAAAGGAATTCATCATTATTGAAAAGGAAAAAGAAAATAAAAGGGAAAGGGATGATCTTACTTTAACTAACACAGTATGAAAAAATTTATAAAGAAATCTTAACCTCACAAGTTGTACTTCTTAAAGACGTAACATGAAGTATTTTATTGAATTTTGAACTAAAGTGTAAGTTATTGTTCTTGGTTAATACTGATAACATAGCAGATTTTGGTTCCATTTTCCCTCACTCTGACAATATTGACAAGGAATGTTAATCTTTGTATTCATTTTCCCAAAGTAAAACAAATTCATATCATGCAAGAAAAAAAATATAAAGTATCAATTGCTTGATACTTCTACATTTCAACCAATTGAAGTTTCCATTCAGAAGATACTTTAATTTTTTAAAAAAGCTAAAGAAATTTGGCTCTGCATTAATGGTTTATTCTTTAAAAAGAAATACTGCCTTGTCTTAAATGTTGTGCCTGATTTCTGTAACTTGGCCGCAGTGGTTTCTTAGATCAGTGTAGTAACAGGAAAGCCCTGATTTAATCTGATTGTAGGTACACACCCTTATATCCTCCCTTTCCCATTCCTTGCCAATCATATCCCTAACATAGAAGAATCTCACTTGGTCTCAGCAACTCTATTGATGATTTAGAAGCATTAATGAGAGAGACAGAGAGTAAGAGCTAAAGTGAGAGCAAGAGAGGGGAGAGAGAGGGAGAGAAAGGGAGAAGAGATGGCAAGCACAAGCTGGAGGGAGCAAGAGTATATGCATGAGAAAGACTTTCTTTACTTTCAGAGTATCCCTCTTGGTTTCGAACGTGCAGGAATAACTTTTTGTGTTTACTGATTAACTCTAAAGTAAAAATAGAGAATTTGAAATTTTTATAAATGTGACTGCAAAATTAGCGTTAGTAGAAAAATCTGTAGAACACAGGACAAAAGACAGAAATTCTTGAAAAATTATTAAGGAGACTTAAAGAATAAAATACTGGTAAGCACATTTTCTGCATAGAAAACTTTTTAAATTATAGACCCTAGTCAGGGAGACTAGCATTATCTGAAATTCAATTGATGCTATTAAATGATTAGAACATCATTTAATTTTTTATGTCATAATCCTAAGAAAGGACAGATTCATGTTTTCCTCTGTTTAGTAATTGCTCTGGTCTGAGTTCATTTATAGCATCATTTACCAAACACAAACCCATAAAAAATCATTATTAATTCTCAAGAAAACTCTTGAATAGATTGTGTATAGTGCCATTAATTGAAGGTGTATTTCTCAAGACATATGAAGATGACTTCATGCTATTCAGTCAAGCACAAATCTAATGATATGTATGAGGCAACAGAATTGATATGTCAGCATTTTTTATATAATTGGAAAGCTTCAGTTTGCCATTACCTCTATGCTAAATAACACACTTACATTATCCCCTAGATTGCAGACAAGCATACGCCTAATTATTTTATTTCTGGCGTGCATTGTAGAAGAATTCTTACGCAAATAATAGAATTAGAGAAAATGTTCCTCTGTGTTTTATCACTCTTTCCGACCCTGTGTGAAACTCATTAACTTCCTAGGAGGTGGAAAAATGAACCAATGGATGTTGGAATAAAGTATACGACCAGCACTGTTCCTCATGTTTTTTTTATAACATATTATTTTCCAAAAGAAAACTTTCTAATTTAATAAATAAATTTTCAATTGAAGAAAAGGTTGTAAGCTAAAAGTATGTTTATCTGCCTGAAACATGACTGGGCTGAAGATTGTCATCAGTTAGAGAAAGTCAGGCTTTGGTTCTGCCAATGTTTGTCTTTTAGAAGATAGCTAGGAAGACCTATAATAGTGAAGAATAAATAATATAACTATGCTTACGTATTTTGATCACTTATATTCTATTTTCATTCTCACAATAACCCTATGGAGTAAGATTCTCTCCGCTCATTTTTGATGAGCCAGCTGCAGTTGAACCAGGGTAAGTAACCTGCCCAAATCCTAGAATTAGCAGAGGGAAGAAACAAGACGAGAACTGATCACTCCGTGTTTTATACCTCACTTTCACACCATCCCTGGATTCAAATTTATTGGCTTTGAAACTGGCACTCTCTTGGAAATGTTTGTGTTTATGGAGACTTTTTGTTAAGTATACCAGGAAATGACAGTAGAAGAGACCCTAATCCCAGGATGTTCTAAAAGGAGAAGAGATTAAAATGAGATTTGGGGAAAACATCTGGATTTTATTTGTTTGTGATATTCTAGTTATCCATAGAAAAATAATGCCATTGTTTTTAATAAAGCAACATAATTGTCAGTTTTTTTATAGTTTCATTTTCTTAATAAAAACCCCCACTGAAATAAAGGGAGTAAAGTTGGTCTCATATTTTGAATATAGTCATCCAATTATCACATATATTTTACTTAAAATTTTAGAATCATAGCAATCACTCAAGTTTCTTGCCATCTAATGATTAGACACATTCAACTGAGTAAATAAGGATTAGCAGCACTACATATAAAATGTTGAAGTTGATGCTGTGAGGTGCTGATATATGACACCCAAATACTGCCAATCAAGTAAAGGGAATGAAATATAAGCCTTAACATCTATCATAGAAGGTGGAATATGGGAAACTCTGTATCAGCATATGAAGTGCAGTGATGAGTCAGAAGAGCTCCGTGGAAGCTTCAGAGAAAAGACAGCTTTTGCCCTCGGTCTTGGATGCTGGGTAGATCATTGCTGGCCAGAGAAAGTTATAGGAAAAAAAAAAAAAAGAAGGCATTCCTGAAAGAAGGAAAATCTGAGCAAATGCATAGCAGTATTGAAATAATTGAACACATTTCATATGTAATTGTCGTGAAGAACATAAATGGGAGTGACAGTGGGACCAGGTCTTGGAGGCCTCTGAGTGTCCTATTATAGTATTTGAATTTAATCACTGCCTTTGAAAGAGAATCAGCAAATAGCTTATATATACCCTTGAGTTTCTAGCTGTAATCGTCACCTAAATTGATGGGTAGATTTATTTAATTTTTGTACTAGAAGGAAATGTGATGTTGAAAATCACTTCAAGAGATGATTATATAAGACTGTGGACTCCTTTGTCAAATCTCTATAGCAGTTTAGACTAGTTGTACAGTGGCCTTTGGTCTCAAAAGAGACTCTAGCAATTAAAAAAATACTTCTCTTCTTTGGGGAACTAAATTAATCTGTGTTTTCTTGTGTAAATGCTCATCAAAGAGATAATTATAGGAACCTTTAAAATCAATCCATTTTGTTCTCAAATATGGTTCATTTAAATAAATTATATGAGGAATAAGAGACAAAGTGAGATACTTTTTTGATTATTCTATAACATAAAATGCCAATTATTATATGTGTCTTTGCTAGACTGTGCTAACATTTTTGAGAAATAAATGACCTCTATGCTAGGTATTCTCTCTGTGATAATAATGTTTATGATAAGAGGAGAATCATGTTTATAATATATTTACTGAGGCCAGGCGCAGTGACTCATGCCTGTAATCCCAGCACTTTGGGAGGCCGAAGCAGGTGGATCAACGGAGGTCAGGAGTTCAAGAGCAGCCTGGCCAACATGGTGAAGCCTTGTTTCTACTAAAAATACAAAATTTATCTGGGCATGGTGATGGGCACCTGTAATCCTAGCTACTTTGGAGGCTGAGGTTAATCACTTGAACCCGGGAGACAGAGGTTGCAGTGAGCTGAGATCACGCCATTGCACTCCGGCCTGAACAACAAGAGCAAAAATCCATCTCAAAACAAAACAAACAAATATATATATATTTACTGAGAACAAGTTGTAAAAGTGTATGGATAACATGCTCTACTAAACTATATACAAATGTAAAAAGAATCTTAAAGGATCTGTGCTAGCATATTAACATTCTGTCTTGAATTGTTGGGATTTACGGTTGTTTAAGTTTTCAGTGCTACTTTTCTAGCTTAAAGACATTAAATCAGTGATTCCAAAGGGTTCTTAGTCTATTCTCAATAAAGTGCTATTGCAGCATTTTGAAGAAATTCATCAAGGTGTACTTTATCCTACCATTCCTACCTATCCCCAAACCCTCCAAAAAAGACATACATGCAGATATTAGCTATTTAGGGCTTTGTCCCCTTTGCCTTTACCATTTAAGTGAGGTGTTCTGACATATTAAATTTATAGTAATAGGCCTCCACATCCATTGTCATGCAAATAAGGCACAGGTACACACATAACTTCCTACTATTCCGTCATGGGTAAATGGAAAATCAGGCATATTGAGGGAAAACTTACGAGTAAGAAAGTATCAGGGCACATGTTATCTATGGGCTCTCATTAGACCAGATTGACTTAAAGTAGCTATGGCTGTACTGGATGTTCCACAGAAAGAGCTTTTGGGGAAGAAACATCCTAATAAAGGAAATGACAGGCAGAAAATGTTGCAACGAAGGTGAAATAACTAGAACTTGTCAAAGTCTTTATCAAAGTCTTTTTTTAAAAAAAAGTTGAATCTCCAGGTCTAACCCTCTAGTATCAGCCAGCTCTTCAGTGAGTGGCTGTAGATCTGCTAAAGGGTTTCTTGTTGGTTATCAAAACTGGAGATAAGGGGCCTCCAGGGTCATTTGATTTGCCTCTTGGCATTGTTATAACTTAGTCTGATCAAATTCCATGTCAACATAGATAAGCAGCTAAATAATTACTACAGTTAACTGATGTAACATGTGATAGTTCAAAGCAGGAAAAATGTAGGTCAACGAGGATTTAGTGATAAGCCAGAAACTGGTATGAGGGTAGGAGTAGCTAGTGTATAAATAGTACAGCATTATACATTACTTGTGGCTTCAATGAACTTACAGTTTCACTATGTTTTGAGAGATGAAATACACACATGTGAAAACATTTTAATCCTCTTGATGCTCCAAACATCAAAAATGAGTTGTAGAATAATCATTGGTATATAATTTGTTTCTTTAGCAATTTTATATTGCAGTTGTGTGACAAAATAAACACTTTCTAGTCAAATCAAATTATATAAAATAACTTTTCATGATCTTCCAAAGATAATATTTAATTTGTTGAATTCATTTAAAATTTGTTTTGTAATTTTTCATCTTTTACCATGTCCAATATTGAATCTAATACTAGGATGATAAATTAACATCTGGTAGTGTGAAAGTTAAGTTTTTCTTTCTCAACATATAATCAGAGTTTTAATAGTTTTATTCAGCAATTAGCTACTGGCAATTACTATTTCTATTTTTATTTTTCAGAATGCAACATTTACTCATCTTATAAATAGCTGCTGATATTTAGAATAGTAAAGATATTTTATTAGTAAAATGCAGCATTAATATTTGGTGCACTGTAATATCATGTAGATATTGCCCTTCTTAATTTTGGGTTCCAATCACTGACCTTATAAAAATAGAACACAATGGACTATTTGCAGTAATCCTCACACAAGCCATAATAATTCAGCAAGTGGCATTTTAATGTATTTTAAAATTGTCATAGAATAATCATTAACATCTTGAACCTATAAAAATGTTGAATTTGCTTTAGTTTGTTTCTGTCTCTAATTGAGCACAATATGTTTTTCTGATTATTAAATTAACATTTATTTCTAAATTGACTTGTTACTTTTTAACCTATTTGTTATTAAAATATACTGAGAAAATGTGGGTTAACCGTGCCAAACATATTAGTAGACACTCAGTAATTACTGCATTAGTGAATGAAGGATAATAGAGTAAAGGCACAAAAATTTTATCTTGTTTCCTTAGAGTTAGGCAAGTTTTAATTCTAGAGAAACAACTTCAAGGAATAATTGAAATTATTTTATTTAATTTCTGATTCTACAGTTGACTAACATCAAAGATAAGATAGTTTTCTGAGCTGACATAGTGGTTCACACCTGTAATCCCAACACTTTTGGAGGCCAAGGCAAGAGGATTACTTAAGCCCAGAGTTTGAGACCAGCTTGGGAAACAATGAGACCTTGTGTCTACTGAAAAAAAAAATTAAAGATAATTTTCTGTAATAGATTTGGAATATTTTGCTTTTGGATGCTATCATAAAATAATTATTATATGTTATTACAGAAACTTTCTAATTACAAATACAAAAATTAGCTGGGTGTGGTGGTGCATGCCTGTAATCCCAGCTACTTGGGAGGCTGAGGCAGGAGAATGACTTGAACCTGGGAGGTGGAGGTTGCAGTGAGCCGAGATTGTGCCTCTGCACTCCAGCCTGGGTGACAGAGTGAGACTCCATCTCCAAAAACAACAACAACAACAACAAAACACTTCCCTTGAAACAACCTTGCTGAAAGTACTTACATATTCAACATGAAATAGTGTTCTCAGGTTAGGGATTAACAGATCTTTATCATGCTATAAATGTTTTTGAGAAATGTTACCATGTAGCTGTTCAAATGTGTTTGAATGAGCTGTTTCATAGAGATTATGTATCATGTGGTACTAAATATCCTCATAAAGAATTCACACGTAAAAAGCACAATTAAAAAACAAATTAAGAACACATATTAGATATGTAAATAAAGTTGATTAGGGGAATAGAGAATAAAGAAGAATATAATGTTTATATGAAAATAACTGAACTACTGTGATTGATAAGACTATTATCTGATGTATAGAAAACTAGTATGATATTAAAGTTAGCAGAGAGTGAGAAAGTAGTCTATGAAGTGGTGGATGAGACAGACTTTGAATTAACTAGATTTGTTCCCATTCTAGACTTGATCTCTGATATGGTTTTGCTGTGTCCCTACCCCAATCTTATCTTGAATTCCCATGTGTTGTGGGAAGAACCTGGTGGGAGATAATTGAGTCATGGGGGATGTCTTTCCTGTGCTGTTCTCCTGATGGTGAATAAGTCTCATGGGATCTGATCATTTTATAAAGAAGAGTTCCCCTGCACAAGGTTGCTCTCTCTTTGCCTGCTGCCATCCATGTAAGACATGACTTGCTCTTCCCTGCCTTCCACCATGATTGTGAGGCCTCCCAAGCCATATGGAACTGTAAGTCCATTAAACCTCTTTCTTTTGTAAATTGCAGAGTCTCAGGTATGTCTTTAGCAGCAGCATGAGAACAGACGAGTACAGTAAACTAGTACCAGGAGTGGGTGCTGATGAAAAGATACCCCAAAATTTGGAAGCAACTTTGAAACTGGATAACAGGCAGAGGTTGGAATGGTTTGCAAGGTCCAAAAGAAGATAGAAAAATGTGGGCAAGTTTGGAACTTCATAGAGACTTGTTGAATGGCTTTGCCAAAAATGCTGATAGTGATATGGACAATTAAATCCAGCCTGAGGTGGTCTCAGATGGAGATAAAAAACTTTTTGGGAACTGTAGCAAAGGTGACTCTTGTTATGGTTTAGCAAAGAGGCTAGTGGCATTTTGCCACTGCCCTAGAGATTTATGGAACTTTGAACTTGAGAGAGATGATTTAGGGTATCTGGTGGAAGAAAGTTCTAAGCAGCAAAGCATTAAAGAGGTGACTTGGTTGCTGTTAAAGACATTCAGTTTTAAAAGGGAACAGAGCATAAAAGTTTAGAAAATTTGCAGCCTGCCAATGTGATAGAAAAGAAAATCCAATTTTCTGAGGAGAAATTCAAGCCAGCTGCAGAAATTTGCATAAGTAATGGGAAACCGAATCACCAAGACAGTGGAGAAAATGTCTCCAAGGCATGTCAGAGATCTTTATGGTAGCCCCTCCCATCAAAGGCCCAGAGGTTTAGGAGGAAAAAATGGTTTTGTGGGCCAGGTCCAGGGTCCCTCTGCTGTGTGCAGTCTAGGGACTTGGTGCCCTGCATCCCAGCAGCTCCAGCCATGACTAAAAAGAGCCAAGTTACACCTGGAGCTGTTGCTTCAGAGGCTGGAAGCCCCAAGCCTTGTCAGCTTCCATGTGGTGTTGAACCTGTAGGTACAGCAAAGTCAAGAATTGAGGTTCAGGAACCTCTGCCTAGATTTCAGAAAATCCATGGAAATGACTGGATGCCCACCAGAAGTTTGTTGCAGGGACAAGGCTATCATGGAGAACCTGCACTGCTAGGGCAGTGCAGAAGGGAAATATTGGGTGGGAGCCCCTACATAGAGTCCCCACCTAGTGGATCTGTGAGAAGGCCACTGTCCTCCACACCCCAGAATGGTAGATCCACTGAAAGCTTGCACTGTGCACCTGGAGAAGCTGCAGACACTCAGTGCCAGCCCATGAAAGCATCCAGGTGGGAGGCTGTACCCTGAAAAGCCACAAGGGCAGAGCTGACCAAGATCATGGGAACTGACCTCTTGCATCAGCATGACCTGGATGTGAGGCACAGAGTTAAATGAGATCATTTTCGATCTTTAAGATTTGGCTGCCCTGCTGGATTTCAGACTTTCATGTGGCCTGTAGCCCCTTTGTTTTGCCAATTTATCCCATTTTGATTAGCTGTATTTATCCAATGCCTGTACCTGATTGTATCTAGGAAGTAACTAACTTGCTTCTGATTTTACAGGCTCATAGATGGAAGGGACTTGCCTTGTCTTCGATGAAGCTTTGGATTGTAGACTTTTGAGTAAATGCTGAAATGAGTTGAGACTTCGGGAGATTGTTGGGAAGTCATGATTGGTTTTGAAATGTGAGGATGTGAGACCTGGGAGGGGCCAGAGGTGGAATAATATGGTTTGGCTGTATCTCCACCCAAATCTGATCTTGAATTCTCATGTGTTGTGGAAGGGACCCAGTGGGAGATAACTGAGTCAGGGGGGATGTATTTCCCATTCCGTTCACTTGATAGTGAATAAGTCTCATGAGATCTGATGGTTTAATAAAGAGGAGTTTCCCTGCGTGAGCTTTCTCTCTCTTTGCCTGCTGCCATCCATGTGAGACGTGACTTCTTCCTCCCTGCCTTCTGCCATGATTGTGAGGCCTCCCCAGCCATGTGGAACTCTAAGTCTATTAACCTCTTTCTTTTGTAAATTGCCCAATCTCGAGTATGTCTTTATCAGCAGCCTGAGAACAGTCTAATACAGTCTCTTAATGAGTTTACCCTTTACCACGCTAATTTACCTTAGTTTTCTCACTTGTAAAATAGGAAATTATAACAGAACTCATAAACATTAAATTGGCTGAAATATTCAAGAAGGCAGATGGACACATAGGAAAGTCTTGGTAAAGAGCAAGTGTTATAACTTTTATTTTACTATGTAGCACACCCTTTTATCCAAAGTGTTTTGCTGCAAACCCCAAACCAAGTGCCTGAGTTTCCAACAAAAGAGAAAACCAGGCTCCTTCATGTGCACTCAGAACAGGATATATCTTATGATCAAGGAGCACAATACTTTCCTTAGGATCTCAGCAGGTAAATTTTTGTCATTCCCAATAAGAAGTCAAGCAGTTATATATATGTATATATATATGTGTATATATATATATTTGTAGCCACAGCCATAGCCTATAATCAAACAAAACTGCTTCTTCCAATTTCTGGCTACAGTTTCAATATTTAAGAAAATAAAAAATAGACAAACAGATGGAAATTTTAGCAGCCATTTTCTAAACAACATTTTAGTGACTTTATAATAATCATATAGCTACATTATATTATTAAACTTGATGATACTAGGTTATTTTATTCATGTTATTTTTATATTTTCCCCTTACTGACACTTAATATTTATTACATATTGACAATCTTCTAAGTACTAAAACATTATTTCATTTAATAATCATAAAACCAAACATGCTATTGTGTTATTACAAACTGCAGAATAGGAAACCGGGACCCTGAGGAGTTTAAGTAAATTCTCCAGAGTCAGAAAGGTAATAATTATGACCATATTTTTATATGCCTGTTGTACTTATCTTGGGAGAAAATATGACATTGGAAAAGAATTGAAATTATATAATTATTGTTTTTTCTTTTAATTGACGATACGACATTATTTACATATTGACTTTTGTCTAAAGAAAGAGGACATTATTGTAGTTTTGAAAATATGGGTTGCCTTTTATAGTTGTACCATAGTTTTGATAGCTCAATTTCACTTACAGATACATTTAACGCCACTAGATACAAAGTAAAAACTTTGTCTATTATCTGCTGAATGTGTCATTTCCCACAGGTGCTAAGAACGCTCAAGCCATGGAGAGAGATGCATTTGGAGTTGTTTACATTCAGACAAAGCTCATCTGGTTGTTTGCAGCTAGTCACAAGGTAAGCAGGGGCGTGCATGCGCACACACACACACACGTGAATTATATATTTCAAAATAAATTGGAATTACATAAATTAAAAAATAAATATTTTAAAATATGATTTTTAAATGTAGTATGGCTGTATATTCATCAGTAGCACCACTGACTAATACCCAGGAAAATGAATCTGCAGAAAAGTCCACAAATCTACACTTTAAACAAATACATAAACTTTATAAAATTGCATGTAGGGTCATATGTTTCAGGGAGGGGGATACGGGATATAGGGCTGATATAAAGAAGAGGAAATATAAAAAAATGCTGATCAGCGTTAATTAAAGTCTACAATATACTTGCTGTTTCACATAGCCTGTCTAATTTAGTATTCTAGCAACCCTATTACATAATCCATTTAACAGATAAAGAAGGTGATGCTAATAGATGTTAAATACTTATAGCTACATGAAATGTGAGGATAGAAATTTAACTTGATAGAATAAAAGATCAATAATAATAAGATGACAGAGGGATTGCTAATTGATGGTTTGATTCCTTTCTCTTTGCTTTCTCTGATACTTTTAAGTTTAGCACTTATTTGTTAAATTTCTTGATGTTCAAGTAAATTGAGTAAAGTTTGTTGTAAATATTTCAGAAAAATCTACTATTTTATTTCCATGTCAACAATCTTTATTTCAGACCCTACAAATTAAAATATAAATTTTAATAAATGAGTATTTATAAATATTTTGATAACTTAGGGGTTTACCTATCACAAATGTAAATCCATAAAGTGAAACCCATTATATTTACATAATATGCAAGTTTAGCAAAATGTGAAATATGAGATTTGAAAACCAAAGTAAGTGGTAATAGGAAAACATTCATGATATTATTCAATTGAAGAAAAACTTCATGAAGAATAAAAAGTTCATGATTTATTCATTAAAAGAATCACTTAATGCAAAAAAGGGTTCTTCCAGGTGTGTGTACTTGCGTGAAGGAAGGCACATGTTTCAGTAGAAGGGCAGTAAGTAGGTACTAAAATATTAGATGATAATCATTAAAAGATGGTTAGTGATGTTCCTGTTCTGAAATTTATTGAGTGAATGATTAACAAGCTGATATTTTTGCCCATTTGACTGTCTGGAAAATACAGTTTTTAAACAGATTTTCAGTTTTATAATGTAATTTCTGGGAATTAGTCCCAGAATGCTATATTATCAGATACATGCTTCTTATTTTTTAAATTTTTTGTTAGATAAATATAAACCTATTTCTAAAATACAAGGTATATCAACTGAAAACAAAGTCTTATATTGAAATGTGTGCTGGGGAGGGCTTCATTTTTATTTGTGTGCTACACATGATTTGTTGGCACTGCAGGCTAACAATACGCACATAATCCCAGAGCCCCTGTGGAATAAATTGGCATGTAGCATAGGCTGGTGATAATCACGCCTGACATGTGCTTCCAGGTATTTGGCGTCTGAATGTACTGTGTGCATTTGTCAGCTAGACAAACATAGTCACAGTTTGGGATGGAGGAAACTAAGAACAGTAAAACATTTTAAACTTCAAGAAATTACCTGACATTTGCATTTTCGACAGAACAAATTTCCCTTTAAATCAATCAGTAGGCATTGGAATCTTGGTTTCACTTTCCCCTGTTCCTTTTTTGGGCTTTATCCAATTTCATTTTTAAGGAAACTACAGCATTAGTGCTCTTTATTTGCTTCCCAGATCTGTATGCTGAAGAGTTAGTAGCAACTCCTGGTGACATAAGTTCTTTGGTTCTAGCCAACTTTGAGCTGTTTTTTTAATCTGAAAATAATCTACTATAAATAAGTAAATGAATGAATGAATGAAATAATAGATGAAGCTGAGATTATTATAAGCCTTGCTTTATATTATATAAGGGCTAATTGTGTCAACCAGTGCCCTTTCTGATACAGCATTCTGGTAACCTTCATTACATTTCTTATAGATGGATTTCTTTTTTATTTCTGTTTTCCAGTATGAAATCATTTCTTTTAATAATATTCCCTGCCATTAACTTGTAGCCATGTTTCAAGTTTTCTTCTCTATAAACAACTAATGCCAAGTCCACTTTTGACTGCATTCAGTATTAATTGCCTTTTCAATTTATTCTAGTAATATTATGAATGTGTGCTTGAATTCCTACTTCTAGGACACATCACAAAATTTTTCTATGGGCAATAAAACTATTTCTTGTAAAACAATATTCTTTTATGGTATTGCACAAAGTGCATGAAAAATTCATGAGTTGATCATTGAAGATATGTATCTATAAGTTAAAAAATAGTTGAAGTACTCTTGAAGATCATTGCTCATTCTGCCAAGAAAAGGCCATTATTACGAACATTTTAGGCTACATGATAGGAACCATTTCTATTAGCCTCAGCTAAAGGCTTTTTCAGGTGTCTGTTTTTCTAGATTGCTGAATGTAATGCAAGAGTGGTATTTTTATTGCCTCAAGACCTAAGTATAGTCAGTTAATAATTTATCACTATTATCTTAGGTTAATAATGGGGATAATATCTCCTGCAAAGTTTTACAGTATTACATTTGAAAGCAGAAGACTTTCTGTGGAAAGCATTTTCCTCATATAGAAGCAGCACAAATGTTACTGGGTATACATCATTTATATATTTTAAAAGGTACTAGTATTATGTAGACATGGAACTCTATAAGATCACTTAGTAGGTTAGAGACTTTTATATAATTTTTGAGAGATTTTTTGGAAATTTAAAGTAATTTACTCTTTTCCTAAAAAGAAATTGTAATTTCTTTTAAAACATCCAGAAAATTAATATGCTAAAATGAAAAGATAAGATTACCCATACATCTCCATTCTGAGAATCCACCTTAACTTTGTGTTTACACTTAGCAGAATTGTTTAATGTATCTGTATGCATACATTTTTAATTTTAATAAAATTAAAGTAATACTTCATATGCTATTTTAATTTATCTCAGTGATATAATGTTAATACATTAAAGCATTTTCATGATAGTATTTTCCATGTCAGTGTAAAGTTCCATCCTAATAACTTAATCTTTCAAACCTCAGTGTTATGACTTGAAGATTATTCATATATTTTCCACTATCACAAATAATATTACATTAAAAATTCTTATGGCAAAACATTTGTATACATCCTTAATTACTTTTTAGGATTATTACTAAAAATGGAGTTGCTAGGTATTAATAGAAATGTGCCAGGTACACTTCTTTATGTACTAAGAGTTTAACATCTATTATCTCCAAGTGGAGTGTGCTGTTTATATTAAATATGAGGCATCTAAGGCAGATTGAGTTTAAGTCACTTGACCAAGATTGCCCAGCTGTTATATTAAGTGATCTCAGTCTATGTTCTATGATATACAACAGAGTATGTATAATCCTTTTTAACTTAATATTGCTAAATTATTTCCAAGTTACACAAGGACAGTGTATCTTAAGTAGCAACGAATGAACATTACTTTTCTATGAAGTTTGCATTGATCCTTTAAGAATTCACAAAACACAGTATGCTATCCTGACAATATGGTTCTACTAACTGACAAGGAGTAAGCTTGACTAGTTGATGCCCTACCATATTTAAGTTTGCAAGATTTGATAGTCCATTCAGCAGACATTGATATTTCTATTTCAATTAGGAATTGAAATTGAATTTTGGATTAACAAATTCTTGGTGTTACTGTAAGATTCGTTTTAGGTTGTAAGGACTATTGCATTGGGTAGGCTGATATGACCATAACAGGAACTTTTTCTCCTAACCTACTCATGTAATTTCACATGTGCTCAGCCTAAGGATGTGTATGCCTGTATCACGTTGTCTGCTTCCACCTGTCTAATTTCTTCAATTACTTAACTAAAGTGAAAGGAATGCCCAGAAGAGGTGTATTATAATGAGCTTGCTTCATTAACCTTGAATTTCTGGCATAATTCATTTTTGGAAAGAAGATGGAAAGAAGCATATCAGTCTAACTTCATATGACTTGTAATCAATACTAGAGATTCCTGTGTAGCATTAATACCAAGAAGCCAAAACAAGATTGATATTAATTTATATACTTCAGTCATTGGCTTGAAGAAAAATTTAAAAGCATAGGATTATCCACGAGCCTGTTATGACTTGAAATCATTCCAGAATCTATCATATAAAATAACCAGCAATTTAGTATTCTGGTATTTGATATCAATAACATTTTAAAATACCTTATGCAAAAGACTTACTCTAGTAATTTGAGAAGTTGAACAAAGAAAAATACCAAATATTTTTATAGCCAAAAATAAAAGCAAACTAAAAATTCTAGTTATCGGGGAAAATAATGAATAGGGTTAGGTTTTCAGAAAAAAAAAGCTATCCATGAAACAAAATGATACCTCCAAATAAATACATCTGCATTCAAAACACAGTATCTGGACTGTTTTAGAAGTAGATCCCTACCTCTTCCTTAAAATATGATTTAGTTTTATTCTGAGGATGATTTTGTGTGTGGGATAACCCAGATTCATGTACCATTTCAGGACTGTGATATTATAGAATGATAGTTCCAACTTTCAAAGATGTAAACTCATTGTTCCATAAAGAATTTTGTAAATTTCTAAAAAATGTGACTTTCAGTTACTGTCATACTTATTACTTTTTTTTATTCACTTTTTCATCTCCTAAATGAAATTGAGAATAATAGAAGTGGATTATTTTGTATTCTCGTTTCCTGTAGAGCAATTAAACAGAACTGCAATATATTTTATGGTAGTTCTTTAGAAAAGTAAAAAATAATAACAGGAATATAGCAATTATATTATTTCATATTTGCAGCGTACTGAATATTCAAATTACCAAAACCATTGAAACAGGTATAAAAATGTGGATTCAATTAATGCAAAATACCCTGTGATTTTTTTATCTACAAATTGTGAAAAACAAATTCTTGCTTTTGCTGGTCAGTTTACATGCTAAACCACAATTTCAAATGGCTCCTTACTTTGGTAAGCAGACTCTACGTCAATTCTGCAAGTCCTCACTTTAAACTGAATGGATGCTATGTTCAATCTTTTGCCTCTATGTGGGAACAAGCCAGACCAGAATGTTGGCTCTGAATTTGACCTGCAGAGCAAGCACCGTTGCTGCCTTTCCCAGATTCCCCTGAGAATTGATCCACCCATTCCTCAGCTGCTAAGTGCTGGCTGCTGGCAGCCCACAGCTGTCCTTTCCCCTAAGTATTGCCCTTGGCTGATAGGAACTGTCCAGCACAGAAATATTGGGGAAACAGTGCTTCTCTTCCACCTTGCAGGCAGCCTTAATGACTTACTGCCAACCGTGAGAAAAAGACTGGTCCCTTGCTTCCAGATGGGAAGCAAGTTGAGTGGTACCATTTCCACTCCTGTATTCTCTGGAATATGAGGCTGAGGCCATACTTTACCTGCATCTCCACCTGTGCTTAGCTTCCCCCTGACCTATTTTTCTTCCCTCACTTTTTACAGGTGTCATCCCAAACCACTTCAATACATCACTTGCACAAAAATGCATTTCTGAGACTCTGCTTGTAGTGAACCTGATCTAAGACAATCTGGTATCTTTACTGGAAAAAAAAATCAGTGTCAGCATAGAAATTAACTTTTTGTAGTGTAAAGGTAAGGAAGTTCCACAGGATTATAATTTGTGCACTCATTTAAAGTGAGAATTTTTAAAATGAGTTCAGCATACTGGTTTATTACTTAGTGCTAGTCTGCATTTTAAATCAGTATTGTGGCTAATAAAAAAATGAAATTTCTTTCCTAGTATAATTTCACATAAATGCATTTTTTACCTTTAGAAACAAAGTTTATTTTTTCCCTACCTTAAAGGTAAAGGAATTTAAGACTACTGAATACACTTTCCAATTTTCTGGAGAATGTGCATAGTTTAGTTAGAATTAACAATGAATATGAAGAAAATCCAAATTGTTTCGTAGGCATGCCGGGTTGTCTCAGTGTTTTTCTTTACTTAAATGATATTGACGGGTGTCCTTATTGAAGAGGAAATAAGTATGTGCTTGGAGCCTCACAGACAACCATTCATCATTCTCTTATGCAAAAGACAGAACCCGTGTGCCAGCACACAAAATCCAATGGCAGCCACAGTAGCAGAAAATCAATAGACTGTATTAGAAAACTCAGAGGCTAATCAGAGCCCAATCTGCAGGCATGATGTACTCTAAAAGAAGCATTGCTTTAGGACATAACTCAACTCTCTGAACACCAAAGACTGCAGCTTAATTCAAGCATTTAGGGGGAAAATGATGGTCTTTAAAAATACACATTTTGTTCTTTATTGCCTCCCAGAGAAGCTTCAGTGTAGTACTCTAATGAATGATGATAATATACATTCTTAAAAACTGATGTTAGCTCAGTCGTTATGCCCAAATAGAATGAGTGTCCCTGCTGTGTGAAGCAATGAGATGTCATTAGTAAGCAGCATCTTCGCTAAATGCAGGATGCATATTGTTACTTGTTAAACGCACTATTAATATCTATAAAGGTAAATGACAATTGGTCCTCTCCTTTCATTTGCTGTGAGGTATTTTACCTGATCTTGAACTCTAAGTGAAGATACATACCCAAATTGAAGTTAGTTGTGTGACAAATTTCAAATGAGTTGCACTTTATAATGAAAATGCATTTAGGTTAAATTACTCAAAAATACCAGGCTCTGAACAATATCTGAATATGTTATACTAGTATATGTTTTCCCTCTTGGGAACTCAAAGAACTTTAGAATATATTATACTATAGCTTTTCTAAAGTTTTTCTAAACTAATTAGAACATATACTTTATTTAAGTATTTTTTGCCATTCTGGAAATATGCATTTATGCATGGATTATATCATCAATATAGGTTCATAACATCATATACACCTTTTCTTCTATTTGTATTATTAACATTTTTAAGTCATCAACAAGTCTCCAATAGTAGGTTAGCTTTTTTGATAAATGTGTAATATATAAACATGATTCCAAATTGCATGTAACAAACTCATGCTTCAATATTAAAGGGACATTTGTATTTTTAATAAACCTCTGATTTTATCTTGTTAATAACTTGAATTTAGATATTGCATAAATATATACACTTATTGTAGTAGATGAAATGTCAAGGTCAATTTGATTGTAATAATCCTAAAAAAATGAAAGTAACATCATGAAAAATGACGCCCTGCTTGGAAACAAAAGCTAATTAAGATTTTTTTAATGCCCCGGAGAGAGAAATGTACAGAGAGTAGTCACAGTTGGTTTAAGATTGGCAACTCTGTCGGATGTGACAGCACATTCAGCTCGTCCCACGCAGACACAATCCGGCATCTGGGATGATAATTATTAGACTTCAGAACACTTCTTGGAAATTTTCCATGTATTAGAGTGCTTGCAAAGCAGCCCTTCTGGAACTATCATAGTTTTATATATTACTAAGTGCCTTATCAATATTTATTTTTCACCTTTCTTATGAATTATAGCTATTCCGATATGCTAAAAGTACTATAGATTTAACAAAGTAATATTTTTTTAAATGTGTAAATGTTTTTGTTTTCCTTTTAAAATCAAATCCTGTAATTTACAATGCAAAATTTAAAATTCTGAACGCATTGCCTTGGTGAGATAATGCTCATGAAAAAGCTCTCATAAATAAAATAAGCTAAAGGGGTTAGTTTTAGCATAAACTTTAAAAATATTTTACCTTTTTTTAACCACTTAGCAAATTTGAGATGTCTTCTTTATAAAGGTTTTTAAAATAAAATTTTAGATATATTTACATATATAGCATCCCAATACAATATTCATAACAAAAACTGTATTTGATAAGTAATTTTTAAGCTAAATAAGAAAAGACAAATTCGAAGCTTCAATGAATATTTTCTGATGGATTCCACTAAACACAGAAATGGTTGATTTTATTTTCTTTGCTATCTGAGAGCTAATATAATTTATTTAGACAGGCAGTGAACAGGTCCTGTCACTGTATGATTTGGAGTAAGTTCCTTCAGCGTGCTCATCTGCTAAATGGTACGATTAGTACCGCATTCCTTATAAGAATGCTATAAAAAATAAATGGCACAACATATATAAAGCATTTTAGACAGTATCTGGTACTACTTAAATTGTTAGTACTGTTGTTACTATCAGCATTATATTATTAAGATTGCTATTACCTTAATGAGAAAATTTGACATAATGGAAGTTTGTAGGACTCTGAAACAAACATATCTGGTTCTGAATTGATCCAATCCCCTCGAAGTTATTTGATCCTGGAGAAGTACACTGATCTTTTAGTGCCCCATTTTTCTACTCTACTACCCAACAAGTCAGATTGTTGTTAAAAACATGGTGTTTAAAAATCCTTGCCGGCTGGGCACGGCCCTCACGCCTTGCCTGTAATCCCAGCACTTTGGGAGGCCGAGGTGGGTGGATCACCTGAGGTCAGGGGTTAGAGACCAGCCTGGCCAACCTGGTGAAACCCCATCTCTACTAAAAAGAACAAAAATTAGCTGGGCGTGGTGGCAAGTGCCTATAATCCCAGCTACTCTGGAGGCTGAGGCAGGAAAATCGCTTCAATCTGGGAGGTGGAGGTTGCAGCGAGCCGATTTTGCCATTGCACTCCAGCCTGGGCAAGAGTGAGACTCTGTCTAAAAAAAAAAAAAAATCCTAACCTATAGCAAGTTCTTGATAAATGATGTTTTTTAGTTAGAGGAAATGGCTTAGGGACTTTATTGGTTTCTTTCTTTTCTTTCCTTTTTTGTTTTGTTTTGTTTTGAGACAGGGTCCTACTCTGTTACCCACTCTCCACCCAGTGGAGTGGCACAATCACAGCTCATTGAAGCCTCAATCTCCCCTGGCTCCATTGATCCTCCTGTCTCAGGCTCCCAAGTAGCTGGAATTACAGGCAAACACCACCATTCTCTACTAATTTTTGTGTTTTTTGTAGAGACAGTGTTTCTCCATGTTGCCAAGGCTGGTCTCGAAATTCTAGTCTCCAGCAATCCACCCACCTCAGCCTTCCAAGTGCTGGGATTACAGGAACGAGACACTGTGCCTGTTTTTTTAATGTATAAAAATACTATACACAAAATATATTTTCCAGGCTTTGTACTTGCATCTTCTGTCCTTTGTGGTGAAATAAACCATGTAGTATATTTTTATTATTTATATGTATTTTTTCAAAATACAATTGCTTTTCTTGTTCAATGAATTATTTCCTTCACTCAAACAGTGTTCACAAGAGGCAATGATGATTTTTGCTTAGAGTATTTCTCCAAGTATGCACATGCTGTTTCATAGTTAAAATACAAGCTTTGGCATTCTTTTGCATGCTTAGATATGTCTAACTTGCATGACATGATTCAACTTATTAATTTTATATAAAAGGATATTAAATGTCAGAGAAACTAACTTGCTTAGGAAATAATAACTACCTTCAAATAAACTACCAGCATTCTAATCTTTGTAAAAAATGTAAATATGCATGCACACATATATTCATATATCCTAGTGATTATGGCCTTATACATATTAACTTTAAAATAGTTACTATGTAAGCAAAAGTACAGACGCATATAACAGATAAAATTTGAAGTAATTTTAAGATATAAATTTAATGGTTCTGAATTCCTAATCACAAATGACTTTCTGCTGATTGCCTCATAATCACCCTTGTATTATTAGTGTAGTTCTCACTTTTTTCCAGGCACTGCAATACAATCTTTGGATAAATAATTACATGCAATTTTCTCCTCAAAATGAACTCACTTTTTCCTTTCTTTAAACTTATTCCTTGGCCTGAATTCTACATTTCCAGCTACCAGTAAGATGCTTTCATCTAGTTGTCTATCAGGCACATAGAAATCAAACTATCTATGGCTAGGGCCACAGAGTAATGGGGATTATACAAAGCTTAATTCAACTTGTAGAATTTGAAGAAATTTTATTGACTGTAAACATCTTACTAGACACATTTCTGACCAAATAAAACACATTTTTAAAATGCATCTGTGCTTTCATATGAAGATATGTTCTCAAATCTTCTTCCAATTCTATTCTCTCACATTGCATAAAATTCATGCCTTACAGTCTTTAGCAATGAGGTAGTCTTAGCTTATGATATCCATAGTTTCCATATTGTTTAATGTCCTAGAAATCTGCAAATATACTTAAATATGTTACTGAAAATCTTTTAGATACAAGTAATAATACCAAACAAAATTTTCTGGCTTCTATAACTGGGAAGTCTATCGTCCATAGTTTAGGCACTGCTGAATTCATGAAATTAATAATGTCAAGGCTATGTTTCTCTCGTGCTTAAACTCTCTGTCCACATGCTTGGTGAAAAGGCTACTGGCAGAACCCAACTCACATCCTAATAGCCTATCAATGCCAGTGGGAAAATGGCATTCTATTTTAGTGGAAAAATGCCCTTGGAAGAACTCTGATTGGTCTAATTTTGTCACAAGTATTTGTTGAGCAAGTGAATCTCTTTCTCTTTTCTGTATCAGTTACTGTAGCCATGGGTTTATACACCTTGACTTGCCAAGCCTGCAAAATGGGCACAAGACTGTGAATGGGGAGTACTAGTTTCAGTTGTATTTGAAGACAAAAGAGCAAGTTCCACAAAGATGAATGGTTCTGCTAATTAGAAGAAAAAAGAAAAGAAATGATGTTAAACGTACCAAGAGATAGATATAAAAATTATGAGATCTCCTGATAATAACTTACATGCTGGTGTTTCCTCCTAGTATCAAGAATCCATGTAGCAAAAATTCTAATTTACATGGATCTTATGCACCAAACAAGAGAAAATCTGGTTCCTTAAGAGAGTCATGAAAATGTAGAATGTTGTAGTTGATATTCTGAAGCATTTAATTATAAAAAATAATCTACCATGTAAACAGCTATTTTTTCAGAGTATCACCCAAGTGTGTGTATTTAAACAATATGTTCTTTAAAAAGATTGATATAGCTTTTATGATTATTTTTAGCATACAGACCCCCATCCATTTTTTAGTTTTTTATAATTCATCTGTTGATAAACTTAGACTATTTGATATGAAAAATTTTATACAGTCTGGATTCTGTATGCATAGTATGGTTTAAAATTTTCCTTTTTCCTCTCTCTGTATTTTAAGCAAATTGGCAGCTGGGTATAGAGGCCTGATGAGACTCATGTCCAAACCTCTGGAAAGGTTATAAATGGTGGTATGTTTTTTTTCAACTACAGACAATGTCTAGTTTTCTCTCGTTTTTATTTATGCTCAATGCCTAGATCCATTAACTCACTGGGGTGACTGCATGGTGATATTATCTTCTATCATTTCTTGATCATTTGTTAGATGATATACTTTTTCAAATTGGATCTCAATAATTCATACGGTGATATACGGACAGACACCATAGAGCTGGGAACAACAAACTTCTAGATTCTGTTATACATTTCCCTCATTTATTATTTGGATACCCAGTGATATAGTTATTAAGGAAATAGCAAGATTTATGCTTTATTATTTTTCTAGATTTACCAGTATTTGAAATAATAAACTTGATCCCTATTATGATGATCAGTTTATGTGTTATATTAGGGTAAACAGTTTCTCAATAAACACTTATCTAATCCTTACTGTGAAGGTATTTTGGAAATGTGACTATAATCCATAATCAATGACTAAGTAAGGGACTTTACCAAAGTCAATCAGTTGAAAGGCCTTGGAAATAGATGTAGGCTTCCTTGAAGAAGAAAAAAGTCTGCCTATGGAGATCAGCTTCCACTCGTGACCAATAGTTCTAGCCTGCCCTCTCCAACAACCAGCCTTAGATATTTTAGAATGGCTTTGCAATACCCCACAATTGTATAAGCCAAAATAATATATGTTCAACACAGAAACAGAACCAGTTTCTGTTTATGTATAATTATTTATTATAAATAATAGATATAGGTATATATATAAAACTGGTCATGTTATATATATATCAGAATATTCAACATAATATTATATCATATATATTCAACATAATATATTTTTGTTGAATATATATCATATATTCAACATATAACATATTGAATATATTATATGTTATTAATATATATTATTTATGTATAATATATTCAATATATTATATTGTATACATACAACTGGTTCTGTTTCTCTGTTAAAAAAAATATATATATATGTGCTGTTTCCTACTTCTGGTACCAGCATTTATATTAGTCAGGATTCAACAGAGGTTATGAATATTAATAAATTAAGGATTAAGGAATATTACGGATTATGTTTTCTGAATAGGTTCTGGGTTTTATTGAATTGCTACTCTAATCTGATTAGATCTAAAGGTACTAATGCCTCTATTTTCAGTGGTAAAGAGGGCACTGGTCATCCATGACATGATGTGGCAATAGAAATATTACCTTTGCATACCCCCAATCAAATACATATAGAAGAGAAGTCACTGGGTGACAATGTATTAATAGTTGATACTTTATAGTAGTCAAGTTGAAGAGTATAATGATATGAGATGGCTGGTCCTCATAGCACTGGAAAAAGTAGGGGGAGATAAGGATGCGCTCATGATGTCAAATTCCCATCTCAAGCTGAGTTTGAATGACCTGAAAGCTTCTATATTTTCCTTGAAAGAAACCTTTATGTTTTGTAATCATAGGACTGAGATTTTAGAAAACCAAACTCAAGACTGTCTCTTGAAGGGTGGGATTACAAAGCAAATTGAATTCCTTACCTCCCAGGGTGTCTTCTGTTAAAGTAGGGATATTCTCGGGCACGGTGGCTCATGTCTGTATTCCCAACACTTTGGGAGGTCAAGGTGGGCAGATCACGAGGTCAGGAGTTTGAGACCAGCCTGACTAACATGGTGAAACCCCGTCTCTACTAAAAATAGAAAATTTAGCTGGGTGTGGTGGTGTGCACCTGTAATCCCAGCAACTCAGGAGGTTGAGGCAGGAGAATCACTTGAACCCAAGGGGCGGAGGATGCAGTGAGCCAAGATCATGCCACCGCACTCCAGCCTGGGTGACAGAAAGGCATTTCTTATGTGGCAGTGGCAAGAGAAAATGAAGAAGAAGCAAAAGCGGAAACCCCTGATAAACCCATCAGACCTTGTGAGACTCATTCCTCATTCACTATCATGAGAATAGTATGGGAAAGACTTGCCCCCATGATTCAATTACCTCCCCCTGAGTCCCTCCCACAACACGTGGGAATCCTGGGAGATACAATTCAAGTTGAGATTTGGCAGGGGCACAGCTAAACCATATTACCTTTCTGAGTTAATCGCCTTGCAAGCCACTGTTGATTCTAGACAAGTGCTACTCCAGTCTCCCCTCTTCGTTCTAGAATCATAATTAGACTAGGTTTTAGTAGGCTCCAAAGGGTACGGTACAAAGTGTAACCCATGAATAGATGTTCCACACACTAAAAGAACGGCATGATTATTCTGAATTTATACAGGCAGAAATCTGAAGAACATGTATGGGTATAGATCATAAGGGTGTGGATAGTGAGGGAAAGAACATAAAGTTAGATTAGGCCTAATTGATTAATAAAGGCCCACTAAGCAGAGATTCTGGACAGTGTTTTTACTCAAGGTATTGGGAATGGCTATAACAATTTTTTGGCTTATTGGCTAAAATATGGACCCAAAGAGAGCTCTACTAAAAGAAGCTGAAATGTCAGAAATGATTTGGAATACTATAGAGTAGGATATCCAGAGGGCTTAGAGAGATTGGAATGTTAGTGTAGATTAATCATGTCAAGAAATGTTCATCTACACTAGGAGGGTTCATAGAACACACCTTTCACTGCAAATGGGAGAAATAAATTTTTGAGGGAAGGCCCAGAATCCTGGATTACTCTTCTATGCCAATCATAAATTCAAGTGTAAAATGCTACCATCAAACTGGCAACCCTAAATGCAAAGGGGAAAATGGGATTCTGGAGTGGAAGGGGCTAAGTGTTGATACTTGGTTGCCCAAGAACGGGTAGTTGTAGTTACCCTAGCAGAGAGCAGAGCCAAAGCAATCCAGAAACCTATAGCCTTGGCTAGTTGATCACGGAGTCCTTAGAAAGGTAATAAATAGTTTGACGGTCAACTAAATCCTTACTTGATTCATGTAAGCAGAAGAGTTTTTAGTTGAGTGAACAGACGTCTAACTTGAATCACCAGAACAGAGTCTCTGCCTCTCGATCAATTCCCAGACTTATGCCAGTTTATAGATAAGAACCCCTTGAATGTAGGGTTCTTCATTCAAGGATTCTTCATGCTTTCCTTGAGGAAAGACCCTGCTACACAGCCAAAATTGTACTGTTTATCTTAGCCTGCCCCCAAAGTGAGTTATGGCCATTTAGCAGGGTTACTGTACATTGAGAGAAAGGAAAGTATCATACTTTTCAGGAATTACTTGACATTGACCTTGAACTGGCACTAGTTCCAGAAGACACAAAATGTCACTATGGTCTATCAGTTGGAGTAAGGACTTAACAGAGGTCAGATGATCAATGGAGTTTTAGCCAAAGTTCATCTCACAGTGGACTCAGCATGTCCCTGACCCCTTACTGTGGTAATTTCCCCATTTCCAGAATGCATAATTGGAAAAGACATGTTCAGCAACTGTAGAATACCCACATTGTTGTTCTGACCTGTGGAGTGAGGGTTATTATGGTGGGAACCCCAAGCAGAAGTTACTTGAACTAACTTTTCTTGTAAAAATAGTAAACCCAAAGCAATAGCACATTCATGGAGGGATTGCAAACATTAGTGCCACTGTAATAAACTTGATGGATGAATGGGTAGTGATTCCCACCATATTCCTATTCAACTTACTGATTTGGTATCTGCAGAAAACAGAGGGTTCTTAGAGAATGACAGTGTATTATCTTAAACTTAATTATGTGGCGATTCCAGTTCAAGTTTCTATTCCAAGTTGTGCTTTCATCAGTTGAGCAAATTAACACATCCCCTGGTATCTCTGTGCTGACAAATGTTTTTTTGCTTGACACCTGTAAGTGAAGACCACCAGAAGCAGCCTGCTTTCAGCAGGACAATTTCACTGTCCTACTTCAGGGGTATTTCAGCTCTCTATCCCTATGTTATTATTTAGTCCACAGGCACCTTGATCACCTTTCCTTCCCACCAAATATTATCTTGGTCTATTATATTGATGATATGCTAATCAGACCTAGCAAACAAAATGTAGCAAATATTCAAGACATATTGGTAAAACACTTGTGTATTAAAGGATGGGAAATAATTCTACAAAAGTCATGGCCTTTCAACCTCTGTTAACTTTCTAGGGACCCAGTGAGGTAGAATATGTTGATCTGTTCCTTTTGAGATGAAGGATAAGTTGTTGCACCTGGCCCCTCTGGCAACCAAAACAGAGGCACAAAGCTTAGCAGTTTTCTTTGGATTTTATAGGTGACATGTTCCTCCTTTGGGTATGATATTCTGGTCCCTTCAGTGAGTAACCAAAAAGAGCTGCTAGTTTTGAGTGAAGTCCAGAACAAGAGAAGGCTCTACAAAAGACACAGGCTGCCATGCAAACTGATGGGCCACTTAGGCCATACAATGATCAGATCCAATGGTGTTTAGAGTGTCAGTGGCAGATAGGGATGTTGTTTGGAGTGTTTATGAATCACAGTGCAGACCCTTAGTATTTTGGAGCACAGTCATTCTATACTCTATGAATAACTACTTTCCTTTTGAGAAACAGCTTTTGGCTTGCTACTGAGCATTAGTAGAGACTAAACAGTTATCCACAGGCCACCAACTGGAAAAGCGACACGAGCAATCCATCATATATAGATATATGGCTTGGTGGGTTAGATTATCTCTCTCTCTCTCTCTCTAATCTAATATAGATAGATAGATAGATAGATAGATAGATAGATAGATAGATAGATAGATAGAGAGAGAGATACAGAAATATCTCAGTTTAAGCAGGCCCTGAAGGCATAAGTTAAATGAAGAAGTTGGCAAATGCCCTTACTCTTGCTACGTTACTTTCTCTCTCTCTCCCCACACCTATGGCTTGATGAGAAGCACTCTTTGAACAGTTGACTGTTCATCAGTCAACCGATGTTGAGAAAACTCTGGCCTGGTTTTCAGATGGCTTAGCACAATAGGTAGTCACCATCCAAAAACCACAGCATTTAGCACCTTTATGGGACATCCTTAAAGTACAATGGTGAAGAAAAATTATCCCAGAGGGCAGAATTTAGAGCAGTGTACTTTGTGTTTTGTTTTCCCTTGAAGCAGAAATTCCAGAGTTCTGAGTGTCTATTGATTCATGGTCTGTAGACACTAGTTAGCCAATGGTTTGGCTGGGTGTTCATGGACATGGAAAGGAATATGATTGGAAAATAGGTAATGCAGAAGTTGGGAAAGTGAATATATAGATAAATCTCTCTAAATGGGCAAAGAATGTGATATATTTGTATATTATGTAAATATTCATCAGAAGGTGACCCCCATAGAGGAAAATGTTAATAATGTAACTTAATAATAATGTTAATAATCAAGTAAATAGAATGACTGTATTTCCCTAGCTACTCCTAATCCTGTTATTACCTTATTGACTCATTACAAAAAATGTCCCTGGAGGAAGATGTGGAGTTTATGCATAGGCTTAGCAACATGGACTTTCACCAAGGATGGCCTTGATACAGCCACTGCTGAATGCCCAATCTGGGAGCAGCAGAGATGAATGCTGAATCCTCAGTATGGCACTACTCCCTGGGGTGATCAGCCTGCTACCTGGTGGCAGGTTGATTGGCTGATTGATGTATTAACCATTTCTATCATGGCAGTCAGTGCTTTGTACTGACTTGTATAGACACACTGGATATGGATTTGCTTTCCCAATGTTTTTGCCAAACTCCCATCCATGCATTTACAGAATATCTTATATACCATCATGCTATTTCACATAGCATTACTTCTGATCCAAGAACTCCCTTTAGAACAAATAAAGTGAAGTAATGGACCCATGTTCAAAGAATTAACTGATCTTTCTGTATTCTCCAGATACCTGAAACAGGAGGCCTGATAGAATATTGGAATGGCCTCTTGAAGATTCAGCATATCACTGGTATATTGAAGTTACCTTATATAAATAGTTTTTGTGATCTCATAGTATTTTTTTTCTATCAAAGTAATCCAAAGGAATAAAGATCAACAATGTGATAATCTGAAAATTTCCACTGCTAGTACTTTTTGTTGATAAGTAGTCTCACATGTACTTGAGTAATTCTCTTCTCCTTTTCCAGACATTTCTCTTATGAGTGATTGTAATAAATATTTTTGATACATAATGAAATCAGAAGATAATCCCCATGCCTTACTTTGTGACTTTTTTACCTGTCAACATGCCAGTGTCTGCAAAATGTGGTTAGAAACAATTGAAGAAGATTGGAAAGTGTTTAATTTTTTATTAACTTTTTAAAAATTTTTTACTAACAGTAAGGAGGACATAATTAAAAACAGATCAGTGCATTAAATCTATTTTTTCATCTATATGCTTTACCACTAATGTTTAAATGAAACCTGACTCTCTGACCCTTACCTCTCCCAATCCAAATAAAATATATTTCTTTAATATTAAGTATTTTAGTATTATGCATATAACTACCCAAGCAGTTGTCACAATTCATGTTTCTCATACTAAATTGTAAGCTTTTTAAAGATAGATACTGATTCGGCCGTGCGTGGTGGCTCATGCCTGTAATCCCAGCACTTTGGGAGGCTGAGGCGGGCGGATCACGAGGTCAGGAGATCAAGACCATCCTGGCTAACATGGTGAAACCCTGTCTCTACTAAAAATACAAAAAAATTAGCTGGGCGTGGTGGCGGACGCCTGCAGTCCCAGCTCCTTGGGTGGCTGAGGCAGGAGAATGGCGGGAACCTATGATGCGGAGCTTGCAATGAGCCAAGATAGTGCCACTGCACTCCAACCTGGGCAACAGAGCGAGACTCCACCTCAAAAAAAAAAAAAAAAAAAAAGAAAAAAGAAAAGATAGATACTGATTTGTATGTGTCATAGTATTTATGGTACTACGTTGTTGGTTCTTGATAAGTGTTGAATGAATGGATGAAAATATAATGAACAATCTTTAAGGAGGCACGTGAATCAATGGCTTCTTAATATTCCTTTAAAATAGTGATATAATAAATAGTCACAGAAAATACTTAATAATCCAATATATGTTTCTATGTATAAATGACTAAATCACTGTAATCTGAAATCATTACCTTACTGAATCCTAAGCCACTATAATGTATTGCCTAAAAAATTGAAACATTATTTAAGTTTTGACAGTTTACAACTGAGGAGCCTTATAAAAAATGAAAAATGAACATTAGATGTATCTTCCCTACAATTAGGGGTGGTATATGGTAAAGAATTTTCTAGGAGGTAAATAACATGAATCAGATATATAGGTATAATAAATAATGTTTTAATAGGCATAATAGAAACTATATACTGCTAACACAGGAATTCTGGCAACTCAAAAAGTTCATTTCTTCTTACCTCCAAATGACTATGCTAGCTCTGCATCAGTGGTTCTTAACCAGACTGGAATGGCTGTAATGACAGACATAGAATTCAGAATCTTGGTGACAACAGAGATCATTGAGATTCAGGAGAAAGGTAAAACCCAATCCAAGAAAACTAAAGAATTCAGTAAGAAGATACAAGTGTTGAATGACAAAACGGCCATTTTAAGAAAGTACCAAGCTGTTCTGATAGAGCTGAAAAACTCACTACAAGTATTTCAAAAGACAACCAGAAGAATTAATGGGAGAATAGATTAAGATGAGGAAAGAATCTCAAAGCTTGAAGACAAGTTATTCAAATCAACTCAGTCAGACAAAAGTAAAGAAAAAAGAATAAAAAAGGAACAAAACCTCCAAGAAATATGGTACTATGTAAAGAGATCAAACCTATGACTTATTGGCATCCTTGAAAGAGAAGAAGAGAGAGCAAGCCACGTGGAAAACATACTTGAGAATATGGTCCACCAACATTTCCCCAACCTTGTCAGAGAGGTCAATATTCAAATTCAGAAAATGCAAAGAACCCTGGTGAGGTGCTATAAAAGATGACAGTCCCCAAGACACAGAGTCATAAGATTCTTCAAGGTCAAAGTGAAAGAAAAAATGTTAAAGGCAGCTAGACAGAAGGGGTAGGTCACCTACAAAAGCAACCTCATCAGACTAACAGCAGACCCTTCAGCAGAAATCTTACAAGCCACATGAGATTGAAGGCCTAAATCCAGCATTCATAAAGAAAAGAAATTCCAAGCAAGAATTTCATACCAAGCCGAACTAAGCTTAATAAGTGAAGGAGAAATACAATTATTTTCCGAAAGCAAATACTAAAGGAATTTATTACCATGAGATTGGCATTAAAAGAATCCCTTAATGGAGTGCTAAACATGGAAACAAAAGACTGAGACTTACTGTCACCACATAAACATACTTAAGTACATAGACCATTGACACTATAAAGCAACTACACAGTCAAGTGAACATAATAACCAACTAATGACACAATGCCAAGATCAAATCTGCACATATCAATACTACGAATGAATGTATATGGCTAAATGCCTCACTTAAAAGGTGTAGAGTAGTAAGTTGAATAAAGAAGCAAGACCTATCCTTCTGCTGTCTTCAAGACATTAATCTCACATGCAATAACACATAGGCTCAAAGTAAAGGGATGGAGAAAAATCAATCGAGCAAATGGAAAATGAAAAAGATCAGGGGTTGTTGTTCTTATTTCAGTCAAAACAGACTTTAAACTGACAATAATCAAACAGCACAAAGAAGGTCAATACATATTGATAAAGTGTTCAATACAGCAAGAAGACATAACTATTCTAAATATATATGCACCCAACATTGGAGCACCCAGATTCATAAAACAAGCTATTAGAGATCCATGAAGAGACTTAGATAACCATACAATCATAGTGGGAGTCTACAACACCTTATTGACAGTATTAGATATATCGTAGAGGCAGTAAACAAAGAAATGTATTCTGGAACGATATTTGACACTTGACCAAAAAGAAAACTTCAGGCCAATATCCCTGATGAACACAGATGCAAAAATTCTCAACAAAATACTAGCAAATGGAATTCAGCAGCACATGAAAAATCTAATCCACAATAATCAAGTCAGCTTTTGGGATGAGAGTTTGCATCAGCATGTACAAAACAATAAATGTGATTCGTAATATTAAGAGAATTAAAGCAAAAAAAAATCATCTTGATAGATGCAGAAAAGTCTTTGATAAAACTCAATGTCTTTTCATGTGGAAAACATTCAATAAACTAGGCATTGAAGGGACATAACTCAAAACAATAAGACCCATCTATAACAAACCCACTGTATGGGCATCAAACTGTATGGGCAAAAGCTGGGAGCATTCTCCTTGAGACCCAAAATAAGACAAAAATACCCACTCTTACCACTTTTATTCAACGTTGTGCTGAAAGTCCTAACCAAAGCAATCAGGCAAAAGAAATAAGTAAAAGGCATTCAAATAGGAAGAGAGGAAGTCAAACTATCTCTCTTTGCAGACATTATGATGTTATTCCTAAAAAACCCCATAGTCCCTGCCCAAAGACACCTAGATCTGATAAGCAACTGTATCAGTGTTTCAGCATACAAAATCAATGACAAAAATCAGTGGCATTTCTATACCCCAATAATGGACAAGCTGGAAGCCAATTCAAGAAAATATTCCCATTTACAATAGCCACAAAAAGGATAAAATACTCAGGAATTCAGCTAATTAGGGCGATAAAAGATCTCTACAAGAAAAAACACTGCTCAACAAAATCAGATCCAATACAAACAAATGGACAAACATTTCATACTCATGGATAGGAAGAATCAACATTATTTAAATGGCCACTCTGCTCAAAGCAAGTTAGAGATTCAATGCTGTTTCTATCAAACTACAAAAACAGCATGGTACTGGTAGGAGAACAGACACATAGACCAATGGAACACAATAGAGAACTCAGAAGTAAGACCGCACACCTACAACCATATGATCTTCAACACACCTGACAAAAACAAGCAATGGGGAAAAGATTCCCTATTTTATAAAATGGGGCTAGGAGAACTGGCTAGCCATAGCAAAATATTGAAACTGGGCCCTTCCTTACACTATACACAAAAATTAAAGATAGTTTGATGACTTAAACATAAAACCCAAAACTATGAAAACTCTAGAAGAAAATCTAGGCAATTCCATTCAGAACATAGGCACAGGCAAAGATTTCATGATGAAAATGCCAAAAGCAATTGCAAAAAAGGCAAATTTTGACAAATCTGATCTAATTAAACTAAGGAGCTTCTTCACAGCAAAATAAACTATTATCAGAGTGAAAAGACAACCTATAGAATGGCAGAAAATTTTTGCAATCTATCCATCTGACAAAGGTCTAATATCCAGAGTCTACAAGGAACTTAAACAAATTTACAAGTGAAAAGCAAACAACGTTATTAAAAAGTGCACAAAGGACGTGAACAGACACTTCTCAAAAGAAGACATACATACGGCCAAAAAAAAAATTTTTTTTAAAGTTCCTTTGGGAGGCCAAGGTGGACAGATCACAAGGTCAGGAGTTCAAGACCAGCCTGGCCAATATGGTAAGACCCCGTCCCTACTAAAAATACAAAAATTAGCCAGATGTGGTGGCACACATCTTTAGTCCCAGTTACTCAGGAGGCTGAGGCAGAAGAATCGCTTGAACCTGGGAGGTGGAGGTTGCAGTGAGCCAAGATTGCACCACTGCACTCTAGTGTGGGTGACAAAGCGAGACGCTGTCTCAAAAAATAATAATAAAATAAAAATAAACAAAAAAGCTCAGCAGCACTGAACATTAGAAAAATGCACATCAAAACCACAGTGAGATACTATCTCATGCCAGTCAGAATAACTATTATTGAAAAGTCAAAAAACAACAGATGCTGGTAAAGTTGCAGAGTAAAAGGAATGCTTTTAAGTTGTTGGTGGGAGTATAAACTAGTTCAACCATTGTGGAGGACAGTGTGGTGATGCCTCAAAGACCTAGAGACGGAAATACCTCTGCCTCTGTTTTATCCTTTTTTGTAGCTATTGTGAATGGGAGTATTTTCCTGATTGATCCACCAATGCCATTACTAGGTATATACCCAAAGAAATATAAATTGTTCTATTATAATGACACATGCACGTGTATGTTCATTGCAGCACTTTTCACAATAGCAAAGACATGGAATCAACCTAAATGCCCATCAAAGATAGACTGGATAAAGAAAATATATATTCACCTTGGAATACTATGTAGACATAAAAAGGAATGAGATCATGTCCTTTGCAGGGACATGAATGGAGTTGGAAGCCATTACCCTCGGCAAACTAATTCAGGAACAGAAAACAAAACACCACACGTTCTTACTTATAAGTGGAAGCCGAATGATGAGAACACGTGGTTGGGGGCGAACAACACATACTGGGGCCTCTTTGGGGTGGGGAGGGAGAGCATCAGAAAGAATAGCTAATGGATCCTGGGCTTAATACTGAGGTGATGGAATGATCTATGCAGCAAACCACCATGGCACACATTTACTTGTGCAAAAAACCTGCACATCCTGCACATGTACCCCTGAACTTAAAATAAATGTTAAAGAAAAAAAAGTGTTCTTCCTACTTTCTTGAGTTAATGCATAGATTTTTTTTCAGTACCCTTTCTATGGAAGGGGCAGCCATAGTAGAGCTTTCATTTTATACTGTGGTCTCTGTCACAGCTCACTGACTCATATAGGCCCATGAACAATTTACTTGTCATTCCTTGGGTATTCACATTACCAATAACCTTTTGCCATTAAATTTTATGTTCAGCTTTACTTCTCTATATAGCTATGATATGAGCTCATGGGTTTAGCATGCTAATTATAGTTCCCATTTGTGTTTTCCAGGCTTATTAGTGGGAGGAGTTCCATGTTAGTATATTCAACCAAATTCTGGAATCAGAAGTTGCTACCCTGTCATTTTGCCTCTTTTATTTTTATTTTATTTTATTTTATTTTTATTTCAATAGGTTTTTGGGGAAAGGTGGTGTTTGGTTCCATGAATAAGTTCTTTAGTGGCAGTTTCTGAGATTTGGTGCACCCATCATCCCAGCAATGTACACTGTACCCACTGTGTAGTCTTTTATCACTCACTCCCTTCCCATGCTTTCCCATGAGTCTCTGAAGTTCATATTACCATTCTTATGTCTTTGCGTCTTCGTAGCTTAGCTCCCTCATTTTGTCTATTCCCTGTCTCAACGTCATATGTATTTCTATAAAGCACATAATTTTTCATGGTTTGTAATTATAGATTTTATTTCTCATATGCTTCAAACAGATGGAAAAGCATTATGCATGTTATATACTGCCTAGAGCTTGGTGTCTAGGACACAACTTTGCACAAAGTAGAGCAATCATAATTACCAGACAATACATGACAAAGAATAAAACATAACTCCAAATAAAGGAAAATTTCTACAGTTGATGTTCTGCCTCTGTGAGGGCCAAGTAGGTGATAACAAATTAATCACCCCAGAGATAAATACTGTTAACTCTGAACAACAACCTCTAGAAGATCAAAAATAAATTAGATATATCATAGAAGGAATTTTCTTTTATTATTTTATTTATTTATATTGATCTATAATAGGTGCTAATTTAATACTTCCATATAATTTATAAATATCATGTCTGTGTAATTGGGTTTTGCATCACCATAAATATTTGTCTTTTCTTTATGCTAGAAATATTTGAATAATGCTATTTGGTAGTATACAATAGATTATTGTAAACGATAGTCACTTTACTGAGCTATAAATCACTGTGTCCTATTTCTTCCATCAAACTGTATATTTGCACCCATTAATGAACCCCAACTCGCCACTATCCTTCCTGGCCTCTGGTAACAACCAGTCTATTCTCTATTGTCATGATACTCACTTATTTGGCTCCTGTGTATGAGTGAGAACATTCAATATTTGTTTTTCTGAGCTTGGCTTAATTAACTTAACATAATGACCTCTGGTTTCATTCACATTACTGAAAATTACAGAATTTAATTCTTTTCATGGCTGAATAAAATTCCATTTTGTATACATATCACATTTTCTTTATTTATTGGACACCTAGGTTGATTCCATATTTTGGCTATTGTGAATAGTGCTGCAATAAACATGAGGGTGCACATATCTCTTTGATATATTGATTTCTTTTCTTTTGGATATATACCCAGTAGTGGAATTGCTGGATCATATGGTATTTCTATTTTTAGTTTATTTAAGGAAACTCCATACAGTTTTCCATAGTGGCTGTACTAATTTATATTCCTACGAAGAGTGTACAAGTGTTCTCCTTTCTCCATCTCTTTGCCAACATCTGTTATTCCCTGTCTTTCTGATAAAAAGCCATTTTAACTGGGGTGAGATGATATGGCATTGTGATTTTGATTTGCATTTCTCTAATGATTAGTTATGTTGAGGATTTTTTCATATAACTTTTGGCCGTTTGTATGTCTTCTTTTGAGAAGTATCTATTCAGATCTTTTTCCTTTTAAACAATTTATGCATAATACCTTTACATATTTATGGGGCATTTGCCCATTTTTAACTTGGATTATTTGCTCTTTTGTTATTGGGTTGCTTAAGCTCTTCAGATATTCTGGTTATTAATCCCTCCTCAGATGGATAGTTTGCTATTAGGCAAGAGAAAGAGATAAAGGGCATTTAGATTGGAAAGGAAGAGTTGAATTAGTCTTGTTTGCAGACTACATAATCTTATACTTAGAAAAATGATAGACTGCTAGCAAAACTAATAAAAAAAGAGAGAAGAATCAAATAGACACAATAAAAAATGATAAAGGGGATATCACCACCGATCCCACAGAAATACAAACTACCATCAGAGAATACTAGAAACACCTCTACGCAAATAAACTAGAAAATCTAGAAGAAATGGATAAATTCCTCGACACATACACTCTCCCAAGACTAAACCAGGAAGAAGTTGACTCTCTGAATAGACCAATAACAGGCTCTGAAATTGTGACAATAATCAATAGCTTACCAACCAAAAAGAGTCCAGGACCAGAGGGATTCACAGCCGAATTCTACCAGAGGTACAAGGAGGAACTGGTACCATTCCTTCTGAAACTATTCCAATCAATAGAAAAAGAGGGAATCCTCCCTAACTCATTTTATGAGGCCAGCATCATCCTGATACCAAAGCCTGGCAGAGACACAACAAAAAAGAGAATTTTAGACCAATATCCTTGATGAACACTGATGCAAAAATCCTCAATAAAATACTGGCAAACTGAATCCAGCAGCACATCAAAAAGCTTATCCACCATGATCAAGTGGGCTTCATCCTTGGGATGCAAGCCTGGTTCAATATACACAAATCAATAAATGTAATCTAGCATATAAACAGAACCAAAGACAAAAACCACATGATTGTCTCAATAGATGCAGAAAAGTTCTTTCACAAAATTCAACAACCCTTCATGCTAAAAACTCTCAATAAATTAGTTATTGATGGAACATATCTCAAAATAATAAGAGCTACTTATGACAAACCCACAGCCAATATCATACTGAATGGGCAAAAACTGGAAGCATTCCCTTTGAAAACTGGCACAAGACAGGGATGCCCTCTCTCACCACTCCTATTCAACATCGTGTTGGAAGTTCTGGCCAGGGCAATTAGGCAGGAGAAGGAAATAAAGGGTATTCAATTAGGAAAAGAGGAAGTCAAATTGACCCTGTTTGCAGATGACATGATTGTATATCTAGAAAACCCCATTGTCTCAGCCCAAAATCTCCTTAAGCTGATAAGCAACTACAGCAAAGTCTCAGGATACAAAATCAATGTACAAAAATCACAAGCATTCTTATACACCAATAACAGACAAACAGCCAAATCATGAGTGAACTCCCATTCACAATTGCTTCAAAGAGAATAAAATACCTAGGAATGCAACTTACAAGGGACATGAAGGACCTCTTCAAGGAGAATACAAACCACTGCTCATGAAATAAAAGAGGATACAAAGAAATGGAAGAACATTCCATGCTCATGGGTAGGAAGAATCAATATCGTGAAAATGGCCATACTGCCCAAGGTAATTTATACATTCAATGCCATCCCCATCAAGCTACCAATGACTTTCTTCACAGAATTGGAAAAAACTTCTTTAAAGTTCATATGGAACCAAAAAAGAGCCTACATCGCCAAGTCAATCCTAAGCCAAAGGAACAAAGCTGGAGGCATCACACTACCTGACTTCAAACTATACTACAATGCTACAGTAACCAAAACAGCATGGTACTGGTACCAAAACAGAGATATAGATCAACGGAACAGAACAGAGCCTTCAAAAATAATGCCACATATCTACAACTATCTGATCTTTGACAAACCTGAGAAAAACAAGCAATGGGGAAAGGATTCCCTATTTAATAAATGGTGCTGTGAAAACTGGCTAGCCATGTGTAGAAAGCTGAAACTGGATCCCTTCTTTACATCTTATACAAAAATTAATTCAAGATGGATTAAAGACTTAAACGTTAGACCTAAAACCATAAAAACCCTGGAAGAAAACCTAGGCAATACCATTCAGGACATAGGCATGGGCAAGGACTTCATGTCTAAAACACCAAAAGCAATGGCAACAAAAGCCAAAATTGACAAATGGGATCTAATTAAACTAAAGAGCTTCTGCACAGCAAAAGAAACTACCATCAGAGTGAACAGGCAACCTAGAAAATGGAAGAAAATTTTTGCAACCTACTCATCTGACAAAGGGCTAATATCCAGAATCTACAATGAACTCCAACAAATTTACAAGAAAAAAACAAACAACCCCATCAAAAAGTGGGCGAAGGACATGAACAGACACTTCTCAAAAGAAGACATTTATGCAGCCAAAAAACACATGAAAAAATGCTCACCATCACTGGCCATCAGAAAAATGCAAATCAAAACCACAATGAGATACCATCTCACATCAGTTAGAATGGCAATCATTAAAAAGTCAGGAAACAACAGGTGCTGGAGAGGATGTGGAGAAATAGGAACACTTTTACACTGTTGGGACTGTAAACTAGTTCAACCATTGTGGAAGTCAGTGTGGCGATTCCTCACGGATCTAGAACTAGAAATACCATTTGACCCAGCCATCCCATTACTGGGTATATACCCAAAGGATTATAAAACATGCTGCTATAAAGACACATGCACACGTATGTTTATTGCGGCACTATTCACAATAGCAAAGACTTGGAATCAATCCAAATGTCCAAGAATGATAGACTGGATTAAGAAAATGTGGCACATATACACCATGGAATACTATGCAGCCATAAAAAATGATGAGTTCATGTCCTTTGTAGGGACATGGATGAAATTGGAAATCATCATTCTCAGTAAACTATCGTAAGGACAAAAAACCAAAGACCGCATGTTCTCACTTATAGGTGGGAATTGAACAATGAGAACACCTGGACACAGGAAGGGGAACATCACACTCTGGGGACTGTTGTGGGGTGGGGGGAGGGGGGAGGGATAGCGTTAGGAGATATACCTAATGCTAAATGATGAGTTAATGGGTGCAGCACACCAACATGGCACATGTATATGTATGTAACTAACCTGCACATTGTGCACATGTACCCTAAAACTTAAAGTATAATAATAATAAAATAAAATAAAATAAAAAACAAAAACAAAAACTCTACCAAATCACTGTTAGAACTGATAAACAAACTCATCAAACTTTCAGGATACAAAATCAGTATGCAAAAATCAGTAGGATTTATATATATACCAACAGTGAACAATCTAAAAAGGAAATCAAGAAAGCAATCCCACTTACATAGCTACAAAGAATGTAAAACACCTAGGGACCAATTTAGTCAAAGAAATGAAATATATATACAAGGGAAACTATAAAACACTGATAAAAGTAATTGAAGACGACACAAAAAATAAAAAGATATTCCATCCTCCTGGATTGGAAGAATTAATATTGTAAAAATGACAGTACTACCCAAAGCAACTTACAGATTCAATGCAATCCCTATCAAAACACCAACAACATTCTCTACAGAAATAATAACAACCCTGATATTTATATGAAACCACAAAAGACCCCAAATAGCCAAAGCAATCCTGTGCAAAAAGAACAAAGCTGGAAGCATCATACAATCAGACTTCAAAATGTACTACAAAGCTATAATTAGCAAATCAGGATGGTACTGGCATAAAAAGAGACAACACATAGACCAACGAAAGAGAACGGAAAATCCAGATATAAATCCACACATTTACATCCCAAATCATTTTTAACAAGGGTGATAAGAACATTGGGGAAAGGACACATTCTTCAGTAAATGGTGCTGGGAAAACTGGAGAACTGTATTTAGAAGAATGGAACTAGACCTCTATCTCTTCCATAAACAAAAGTCAAATCAAAATGAATTAAAGACTTAAATATAAAGCCTGAAACTGTGAAACTACCAGAAGAAAACATTGGGGAAATGCTCAAGGACATTTGTTTGGGCAAGCTTTTTTTGTGTAAGACTGCAAGCTAAAAAGCTTCTGCAAAGCAAAAGCAGCAAGCATCAAAGAAAAGAGATAATCCATGGAAGAAATTTTAATATGGAAGAAAACAACGTTGAATGAGTTTCCAACATTTATGACTATTAGCCTTATATTAGGACATGGTCAGCATAGTTCAGGGAAGTTAAAACTACAACGAAAAATTCATGTGCCTTTGGGCTTGAGTAGCCATTGCACAGTTTATAAGACAACCACAGAAACTGGATATTGGTTGTGGTGACTTAGAAAGTACACTGCTGGTGGGAATGCCAATTAGTTGAGCTACTGTAGAAAGCGGTTTGAAGATTTCTCAAAGAATTTAAAACAGAACTAACATTCAAGCCTGCAATGTCATTATTGGGTATTTACCCAAAGGAATATAAATTGTTCTACCATAAAGACTCATGCATGCATATGTTCATGGCAGCACTATTCACAATAGCAAAGTCATGGAATCAACCTATATGACCATCAGTGGTAGACTGGATAAAGAAAATGTTGTACATATGCATCATGGAATACTATGCCACCATAAAAAAGGAAAAAACTCGTGTTCTTTGCAAGGATATAGATAGAGCTGGAGTCCATTAACCTAAGTAAACCAATCCAGGAACAGAATACCAAAACCATGTTTTCTCACTTATAAGTGGAAGCTAAACACTGAGTACATATGTACACAAAGAAGGCAACAATAGACACCACAGTTTACTTCAGAATGGAGGGTGTCAGTAGGGTGAGAATCAAAAAACTACCTATCAGGTACTATGCTTATCACCTGGGTGATGAGAAAATTTGTACATCAAATCCATTTGACCTGCAAGTTATCTATATAACAAACCTGCACATGTACCCTTGAACTTAAAAGTTTAAGAAAAAGAAATTATCTAATCTGAAGACTACAGAGAATAAGAAGATAAAGGGGAAAAAAAACCAAGAAATTAATGAGGACACACAAAATAAGGAGAGATATTCCATACTCATTCATTGAAACAATTATTTATCAGTTAGCTAAAGATTTTTTTAGACAAATTATTATTAGGTAGCATACCTGTACTACTAAGTGTGAAATAAATTCACTGTGTGCTGGTTACCAAATTGTCATCGGGGTTCTGGTGAGACAGAAAGTGCTTATATGTGGTAAATTACATGAAGCAGATTTATCGTTATAAACAGGCAGCAAGGGACAAGAGAGGCCTGGGATTCATTGTGAGCCAGCCCCACAAGACTTATGAAAGCTATGAAGGGTGGATAGAGTCTCCTCTAGATGTGCCCTATTCGCACCACAGCTGAGGAAACCCAAAAAGCAGCTTTCCCAGATTTTATACCCCAGTGGCAATGTGACATGCTGGGCTAACATGTTGAGGGACATCCTGTTTCTAGGTGGGGATTGGAACAAAGCCTGGGCTGGTCTAGCTAGTCCCTCCTTGTCTCAGAATATTGCATTCCCATCACATTCTACAGTTTTTCTTGAGAACTACAGATGAGGAAATGGGGGAGAACTGGGTCTGTCACCTGGAGAACTGTCCTACACCAAAATGTTAAATGAAGTTATACAATTTACCAAAACTGATAGAAGATGAAACAGAAAGTCTGAATATGCCCATGACCTTTAAAGACATTGATTTTCTTATTAAAATAACTCTACAAAGAAAATCCCGTGCCCAAAAGATTCCATCATGCATTACATTAAAAAAAACCACCATTTTATAAAACACACCTCCACAAAATAGCGAAGGCAACAACTCTCCCCAGCTTGTTTTCATCTCTAACATCTTTCTTTCTTTTTTTATTAATTTATGTAAAATATACGTAGAAAGTATCCTGGAATTCTTGCTTCCTCACAAGTAAATTTGAGTACTTTGCGCATTAGACAATATTGCAGTTTTCTTCTTCGTGGCTACCTGGGCCCTTTCAGATCCAGCTCTTCCTGTAGCACATCACAGTAAAGAAGATTCAAGATTGAGGGTTGGTTTGTGAGAGTTGATGCCATTTTAGACCTTTATGTAAGCTCTTGGTCTTTCTTCACTCCAACATGCAAAAGATTGCCTGCATTTGGCATTTTAAGTTGCTTACACAAATTAGTAAAATTGCTACTTGATTTCCATTTGGCTAGAGACCCTCATGTGTATATTTCTTCAGCCAGAACCCTGATGTGGAAGAGAAAGGAGTGCTTGGCCTTGAACCCCTAACAGTAAGTGCTAAATAAATGGTATCTGTTTTTGTTGTAGTTGGAACAGCATGCTCTAACAGGTTTTGAGCAGGGAGAGTAAAAAGAAGATTAAACATATAATTCTTAGCTTTCTCCAAATTTCTGTGTAGCATATTAAACTAAATATTTAAAGAAGGTATCTCCAACATTATCATTAAACATAATAACTGAGAGGAATGATGACACCTGTTCACTTTTTAAGACTAAAATCTTCTGATATTAGCTTGATTTAGAATGTTTATTCATTCTGTGAGGCTTCTTCTCAAAGAGAAAGTGTGGAGGTTATTTTGAGAAACAAAATTAATGGCAAAAAATACCCTAGAAACTGCACGTAGCAACAAGGAGAAAAATGGTTTCTGAATAATGCTGAGAATATACAGAGAGATAAAAGCAGAGATCATGCACAAAACACATTTGAACAATGCTAATATCACAGTGAGATTATAAACATGAGAAACTAAAATGAAGTGGTTAAAAAAATTAAATTCAATTTAGAGTAAGATAGATATAAGTAGAGAAAAAAAACAGCTATTCTTCATTCCCAATATTGGTATGCTTTCTAGTTCCTCAAAAGGAAGGAGGGATTTCTGATAAAATTGTTCAAAGATCTAAGCCATCCAGTAAGTTACATTTTACTCATAAGAAGCTGATTCACCCTTTTTATTTCTATCCATGTGGCCGGGGCTTATGACCTTGCTAAGCTGTTTCCTTTCTTCTCTGCATGCAGTGGGGATAAATAAGTTGAGCCAGGGACCATTATAAATAAACCAGATTTCTTACTTTCTTCTAAATATAATAAAATATTTAAGGAAGATCCCTGTTCCCTGAAATGGTTTTGATTTCTTTGGATACAAGCATTTCAATATCCTCATTTTTTTTTCATTTTTGCTATTTTATGGCATTCCATTTATAAACATTCCTTTGAGTTGGATTTAAATCATGCTGTTGAATCCCCTAAATTTCTATGTGACATAAAGGATTAACAAATAATGCATTTGTGTCACATCAAAATTACATTCAGTTTGTGGGAAAGTAATTTGAAATAAATTCTGTACCATAGTGGATCTACTCAAAGCACACAGAAATATTCAAAATGAAATTCCATGTATATTTTAGATATTTTCTTCTAGAGACGGATTTTTAAAAGCCTAAATTTATGACCCAAACTACTAAAATCAATTCCTCATCTTAAACACAAAACTAAACTACATTTCCCAGCTTTCCTTGCAGTTAGATATGATCATATGACCACAGGGTAATCAGTGGATTGCAGATAAAATGTTTGCCACTTTCAAGCCCATTATAGGATACCAAAATATGCCACCCCAAAATATGCATCTTTGGCTTAAGGATGATTTTGAGCTGATTTTTTTTTTTTTGAGAAACTACAGACAAGGGGAAGCTCTGAAATTAGAGTAGAAGTTATCCTTTTGTAAGAAAAATTTGCACCTATAAAGGAAATTTCCATTTGTAAGGGAACCCTCCCACTCTGCTCCAGGGAGAGATGAATGACTCTAAATTATTAGAAAAGCTTGTCAATGTAGAAGGCACAGACTTAAATCTGCACAACAAATCTTACCCTTGTTTACTGTGCTTTTCCTGCTCACCTCCCATAGTTGCATTATCACCCCAAGGCCTTTCTTTCTTTGTTTCAGTTGAAGTCTGAACTCTAAGGCACCTCTTTAAAATGTACTCACTTCTCTGGGTATCTCTCGGGTATACATTAGGTATACATGTTAATAAGCTTCTGTTTGTTTCCTTTCTTGTTAATCTGTTGTTTGTTACTGGAGAATTCAGAACTCAAAAAGTGTAGAGAGAAAACAATTTTCCCTCCCATGCAACATAAACCTCTCCCATATATGATCCACTGAGATCTTTTTCATTTTCAGCTGGTTAGAATGGAGATCACCCACATAGCAAACTTGGAAACCTTGTGTTGAGCATGGCAGAATAACACTGTGGAATAAGCTAGACTTATTGTACTATGACTTGAAGAAGAATTACCTAGTAATTGGAACTATCATTTTGGACTTCATATGTCATACCAATAGATATAATTTTTGTAACTACCATGTTTTGAAGGTTTATCATCACATTTTAATGAAGGCAATGTAAAATAAAAGTAAAATAAATCTAAATATGTCTTAATAAATTACCTGCAATGTTAAAAACATAATGTATCTTAAGGGAAAGAGATAAACTAAATGCCACTTCAGTTGTTGTCCTTTTGGGAGATCATTCTCAATGGCATTTGTTCACAAATGCCTGTCTCTGTATCATCCCTCTGGGACTTGGAAAACAACAGGGGACCACTGAGTATATAAAGCTCATGCTGCCTGCTGTGCTATGCATAATACAGTCCATTACCTCTAGTGTCTTCTGACATGTATAAAACTGTAAGAGGCTAACATGCTAGCTTGCATATAGGATAAAATCTCAAATTACTCACAGTTCTTGACAGTTTTCTCCAGATATTTAAAAAATCAAGTTAGGTACCATGTTTCCATGTCAAAGTAGATGAAATGTTGCTTTTTGTTTTCTTGGCCTTTTTTGTCCACTGTCCTCCTTGTTCGCCCCACCAACACAAACAGATATGCTGGATTTTCTTCACAGAAGAGTAGCAGGAATGGAAATTTATGAACGGAAATCACATGTGCTTAATAAGAGTTGAAATTAAAATAATAATGACAATGATGGTGATGATGATTATAACCAGGACACTTTGTGCATAATAGTCATTATTATAAGAATTTCCTATATATGAACTCATTTAACACGCCACCACTATAAGTAGGGAGTACTGTTATCTCCATATAAAGTTGCCTATAACTAGTAATTTCAGATTTTTGAGGACTTGAGAAAAATGGTTGTGCTGTAGACATGACTAGATGCATCAGACAGCACCAAATGCCAACCACAGGCCAGATGCTTAGATGCCATCACATATCATAGCTGCCAAACAACCTCAGAAAAAGATGCCACCCCTGATGGGGAAGGGGATAAGCGAAGAAACTTGCATTGATTCTGCTTTTAAATTTTGTGGTCATCTAAAGTGGCTGAGAAATCAGAATCATAACAAAAAGAGGAATTTCTAAAACTGAGGATTTGTTTTGTTTTGTTTTGTTTTGTTTTTGCAGTGAGGGCTAGTGATGGACATTAAGTGCAATTACCATGGCTGGTAGTGATTATGACTAGAATTAGAATAAGGATAGCAAATGCCATGAGCTCCTTAAATACCAGATCTACAAGGAACAGAATGATCAGGCTACATATTAAAGAGTAAAGAAGAAAGCTTACTTTTAAGTAGCTCAATAAAGGTAAGATTAAGAAGGCAATTGTTTTAATCAATTTGTGTCTCTCCTCATTTTATTTGAAAAGAACATAGTTATGGGATATTATGAGATTCTCTTTTACCAAATTTGTGCTTCCATAGTTTAGCAAATTACATTAGACTTGGATCTTTTTCTCATCTTTATCCAATCACCCTCTCACTTATGTCCTAGAATCTCCACAATCCTACAGGTTCACATATCACTCCTGATGTTACTTTTCTTCTCTGAATCACCCAGGGTAGGCTTGAGCATGAAATGATGGTATAATCAGAAGGTATTTGGGACCCCCTCTTAAACATTGAACCCCACATCAATAACTTCCCGAATCGGATATGGAGAAAACCTAGGAAATTGGTTAAAACAATTACCTCTTTAGTCTTACCTGCATTGACCCGCTTAAAAAATAGGATTTCTTCTTCTTTATCTATTAATATGTACTCCCTGGTCTCCCTGTCTCCTGTAGACTTGATATTCAAGAAACTTTTAGCAGTCTTTATCTTTATTCTAATTATAGTCAAAATCACTTGAAGCCAAATTGTTGAGGATACAATAATGATAATTTACTATTATTAATAATGATTATTGTTGGTGATTTTCAGCCAAATGATTTCAAATTGGCTAATAGAAATTTCTTACTGATTAAAATTCAAATTACTGAGCCTATATGATTCAGGTGCCCAAAATGTAGTTCAATCCACCAGTTTATATAAATTGGAAATTTCCGATTTCCATTTAATCTAAATTAATCATGATATACAGAGATCCACCTAACTGTTATAGTGAAGATGATAGCACATTTAAAAATGTTTTCATACTTTCTAATTGATGGAGAATGGCATACTAACAGTTATTTTTAAAAAATGAACAACACTTTAAGAATTGTGTTCAAGCTTTGGGAGTAGAACCCATTTGAGGATCATCCTAGCACTACTCAGAGCACTACCTTTTGAGGTAAATAAGACCGAACATGAACATTACATTCTGAGCACTAGATAATTTTGCACAGCTGATTAAATTATCTCGTTTTGCTCTAGAGAAAGAATGAGAATCTGAAATGTTAAGTGTCCGTGACTGTGAGTGAGTGTGCTTGTGGGTGTTGTATATCTTATTTCAACTTAAAATCAAATAGTTTATCAAGGTAATTTTGTTGGAATACTTACTGTTCTATTTGAGCAAAGCAAATAGTTTATCAAGACAATTTTCGTGGCATACTTACTGTTCTATTTAAAAGGAGGATTCAGTGGGTAAGACTTCATTTATCCCTTTCAACTAGAAGGGGATGTAGGTTTGTGCAGATTATAAAAACATCCTGAAAATTTGTCTTTTAAATTTGTCTTTTAAACAATATTGCTTAGATCCAAGAAATAGACCCACAAAAACATAGTCAACAGATCATTGAGAAAGGGGCAAAAACAATGGAGAAGGAGATATTCTTGTTGGCAAATTGTGCTGGAAAAATTGGACATCAATATGAAAAGAACTGAATCTAGACACAGACCTTTTACTCTTCACAAAAATGAACTCAAGATAGATCACAGATTTAACTATAAGATGCAAAACTATAAAACTCCTAGAAGATAACATCAGAGAAAATCTAGATGACTTTGGAAATGGCAATGACTTTTTAAATATGACATCAAAGACACTGTTAATGAAAGAAATAATTGATAAACTGGAATTCTTTAAAACTAAAAACTTATGCTCTGTTAAAGACATTTTAATTAAAGAGACTGAGAAGCCAAATCACAGGCTGTCTTCTGCAAGACATATCTAATAAAGGTATATATGATGAGGTATATTTATTCAAAATATATAAAGAATGCTTAAAGTCTACAAGAAGAAAAGAAACAACCCAATGAAAAAGTTGACCAAAGACCTGAATAGACACCTCACTAAAAAAGTTGTACAGATGGTAACTAAGCATATAAAAAGATGTCCCAACTTGTTTATTAAGGAAATTCAAATTAAAATGTCAATAAAATACCATTATACACCTATTAGGATGGTACGATTCCAAAGCACTGAGGACTCCCAATGCTGGAGAGAATGTGGGTCAACAGCAACTCTCCTTCATTGCTCATGGAAATGCAAAATGGTACAGCCATTTAGAAAGACAGGTTGGTAGTTTCTTACAATACTAAACATATTCTTACTATACAAGCCAAAAATCGCACTCTTAGATGTTTCCCTAAATGGGATGAAACTTATGTCCACACAAGAAACCTGCACATGGTGTTACTGAACCAAACCTGGATCAGCTTGCCTAGTGCAGTAAAGTGAAACATCCACACCAAGGTTGTGCAGTAAAAGAAAGGAGGGCATTTATTTGCAGAGCAAGAGAATCATGCAGCTTCTGCATGAGACCTGACCTCTCTGTTGGCTAACATGAAAGGGTTTTTAAAGGATGGAGTAAATTTCAGGAAAGCAGAAGTTACAGGCAAAATCATAAATTGATACATAGTGTTTATATGTTGGTTTGGCTTAAAAAGGTGGGCTGTCTTAAAGCAGGGACTTACAGGTCATAGGTGGATTCAAAGATTGTCTGATTTGCAGTTGGTTAAGGAAGCAACGCTTTGTCTGAAAACTTGAGGTCAACAGAAAGTTAAAGTCTGGCCTGTGGGCATGACTCTCTCCATGTTCCTCAGGGAGAAATTTAGAACAGATTATTGTGGTCAGAGTTCAACCTTCAGTGCCCCCCATCTGTGTTCTTTGGTTTCTGTAAAACAACTTGGGGACATACGATAAGATGTTATCTTTAGTTTCTATAGAAAACCAAACATCTTGTGGCTCCACTTCCTTGGCTATTGTTTTAAGCTATTATTACCTTCTTGCTTATTAGATGACTCATGTACTTCTCAAGGCTAGCTAGGTGTCTGGAATTTCCCTTGAGGGACCTCAAGATTTTTCTTAATTTCCATTCTTGAGGAGTGGCCCAGCAGACCCGTAGAAGGGTTTCTTCTCCATCTCAATGGATGTTTATAACTGCTTTATTGATAATTGCCAAAACTTGGAAAAATCCAAGATGTCTTTCAGTGGCTGGTAAATAAATGGTAGTATATCCAAACAATAAAATATTTTTGGGGAACAAAAGGAAATGAGCTATCCAATCATTAAAAGACATGGAGGACCCTTAAATGCATATTAGAAAGTGAAAGAAGCCAATCTGAGAAAGCTGCATACTGTGCGATCCCAACTATATGACACTGGACATGAAAGAAAATATTTTGAATTCTGAATTACATATGCAGGAAATAGTTGTGTTTCATACATAAAAGCATCAGGAAGACATATTTATAGACATATTCAGATATATTTATTTTACAAGAATATCTTGTATTCTTCTGGAAGAATACAAGAAATATAGCTCTTCATTAACATTCTAGATGTTCAAAAGATGACTCCAAATAAATAGCTTACTTGTGGAGACGACAGTATTTAGGGGGCTTTTTGATAGAATTTCAGGCATTCTAGACCCAGATAATCTAAGCTAATCTACATGTTCATTTCGTCTCTCTTCTCAGTAAGATTTCAATGGTGGAAATTGGACTTCCAATACTACATGAGGGAAAGTGTGCTAATGGTTTCTGAGAAAATTTCATTATACCTAAGAATGAAGAAAGAGAAACTCTCTTTTTCACTTAGCTATTTTCCTCTTTGTCTCCTTGTCTTTGGATGTTGCTGTGGTATCCGGAATCTCTCCAGCTATTTGCTGTCAGTCTGAGGTTAAAGTTTACATTGGTCCCCAATGATATTGAGAGCTTGTTTGGAGGTTCTAGCAGGGGAGCACAGCTACTTGTATACACTTGACCGAAGACCAGTCCTCGGATCTATCGAGGATGGTCGTCCTCTTCAACCAAGCGTGCAGCTTTGGGAGGGACATACATGGAGCAGTGAGAGAGGAAGGGGACACCCGCATAGCCAGCCAGATCAGCTGAGTCAACCCTGACAATCAATGGGGTGACAGATGTCACGGCCAGATCACCCTCACATCTGCTCCTCAATGATATTGAGACTGATGTTCATTGCATTGGTCTTGGGTCCTATACCATCTGTAGGCTTCTAATTATGAAAGATGCATTTTCTAAAAATTTAAGGCAACTTGAGTTGGGGATTATAAAATTTTTTTCTAAAATGTATTACCTGATAGGATCTGAAGGTATTAAGAGATAAGTACATACACTAAAATATAGGCATAACTAAATAACTGATGATTTTATTGAGAAAGGAATAATACAACTTATTTATTGGAGAAGACATACTATGTGATATAAAAATAACCAGTATTAGCTATCTTTACTGGCTGTGATAAAAAAAAAAAAAAAAAAAAACACAAAAACCATAGAACACACCAGTCACATTAAAAGTGAGGGAAGAGAGGTTGAAGAAAGTGTTCATTAATTCATCAATTTTCTCACCTTCCACAGAAGGAAAATACCATATACTTTTATCTAAAGTTATTAAAGCAGAGAAAAAAAGTTTAAGTTATGATTTAAAGTAAAAAAAATGATTATTTCTAGCAGAATAATAACAGATTATAACTTTTCCGAGGCAACAGACCGTATAACAAAAGACAGAACAAAAAGAGAAAATGAAGATGTATTAACAAAATGTCAGATAAGATGTAAGAAAGAAGACCAAACAGATGCTCTACGAGTGGCAGAAGGCTCTGGTCTGTCTGCATTTTGTCTGGTGTTGGACAAATCACTTAATCTCTCTAAGTCTCAGTGTTTCATCTATAAAATGGAAGTAATAGTAATAGTAGCTATCTTATAAGGTTGGAGTGAGCATTAAACGAATTAAAGCATATAATGATTAGAATGATGGCTGTGGCTGGGCCAGGTGGCTCATGCCTATAATCCTAGCACTTAGGGTTGCCAAGGTGGGGAGGATCATTTGAGGTCAGGAGTTCGCAACCAGCCTGGCCAACATGGTGAAACCCTGTTTCTCCTAAAAATACAAAAAAATTAGTGGGCATGGTGGCATGTGCCTGTAATCCCACCTACTTGGGAGGATGAGGCAGGAGAATTGCTTGAACTCAGGAGGTGGAGGTTGCAGTGAGCCAAGATCGTGCCACTGCACTCCAGCCTTGGTGACAGAGTGAGACTCCATCTCAAAAAAAAAAAAAAAAAAAAAAAAAAAGAATGGTGGCTGTCACATAGTAAGCTTTCAAAAACAAGTTAGTTATTTATTGTAAAAGGTTAGCCATTCTTGTGGTGGCTCATCACAAAAGAGAGCATTGATTATGATTCATTCTTGGGTGACAAGTCGCAATATTATAAAGCTGCCTATTTTCACTAAACTGATCTCTTAATTCAACACAATTACAATCAATATCTTAACAGACTATTTTTATATGTCATAAAATTTAGATGTATTTCTGGTTATGTATACATGTCTGTATCCAGCTATTTTTATTATTATAGTAATCCTATCCAGTTAGAAGGGAAGAAAGCATTAAATATCAATAGAGAAAATACGGATTTTTTTTTTTTCTCAGCAAATGCTATTGAGTAACTGGCTAGACATTTGGAAAATAAATCTTTTATCTGGATTATAACAACACCTCCTAACTGATTTTCCAACTTCCACCTTACTGATTTTTGGATTATTCTTAACAAATAGGCAGATAATCACTTCTCTGCTCAAAACTCTTATTGTTGCCCCACCTCACCTGGAATATATGGCCTGCAGAACTCTGTAATTTGGTCCCTCTTTCTTCTGTGCATTACCCTTTCCATCTTGCTGAGCAGCTCCTGCTCCCTAGTCCCCTGGTTGTACTTCAAACACAACAGGCTTGATTTCAGGCCCTTGTGCTCCTTGTTCTCTCTACATGAAATATCATCTTCTTTCAAAACCGAATTCAGCTTATTCCCTCACCTTCAGGGTTTTTACAATCTCACTGAGTGTGCTAATGGAAAAACTCTTATAAGTAATTACTGCTCTCTCAGCAACACATAATGATATAAATAAATAAACAAATAAAAAATTTAAAAACCTGATTGTAGCTTAGTCTTTGGGAGAGCTTTAAGGGAGAGTTTAGACTATTTTAGGGTAATTGATATGGCAGCCTGATTAACTTTGGATACTATTTTCTTGAATTTTCCCAAATGTGTCTTTTCAAGCATTATTAGCCACGTGTTTGATGTTAGCATATAAAACTGACATGTCTGATTTTCCAATGATCTTGATATATCAAAAAAACTAATCCACTAAAACAAAAACCTGACAAAATTATGGTGATGATTACATCGTGAAATGGATGATATTGTTTTTTTCCCTGAAAAGATGTTATATAGTTTGAACACCCACCTATCTATGCACACACATATATATAAAGCTTCTATATGTAATTACACACATATGTAATTTTAAGACGTATGCATATTAATTTCAAAGCAAACAACTCGAACATGTGAGAGCATAATAAACACAAGTACTATTTTAATAGCAAGTATTTATAAGTTTATATAGCAATATAACTATCTGATAGTTTCATTATGATTTATATTTTTTCATATATTTCAAGATTAGAATTTTCATTAATTTTGGTTGTGAGTGTTTGACATTTTCCCATTTAGCAATGATTATTTTTAGGGTCTCCTATCCAATGCTTATCATATAGGCAAAATACAGAGAAGAATACACAGGATTACATGGCTACATGCATAGGAAATGCTAAAATTGTGAAATGCATATGTTGCTTGTCTCAGCTATTTTCTGGTCAGTACAATCTCATAAAAGACTATGTGTAGTTCACTACTGCATTTAAAATTTCTTAAAATTCTTTCAGTGTCCTTACAGGAAATTTTAATGGAAACAGTAGTTTGCAATAAAATTCTAGCAATTTTTAAAATGGCAGTTTTTTTTTTAATAGAATGTATTAAAAACAGAAGACATCCTTTGAACAGACTCCCTGTTCTTTTAGCACCATCTTCACTATAAGTTTCTGTGAAATCATACAGCTTCTTGCCATCCTCACAGGGGCCTGACTGGACAATTGATGCTTTCAGACACCTGCTGCTCACACATCACAGTGTGGATAAAACCTAGTTGATTGTAAACCCAGAAGTTGCAGCCAGAATGCTTTCACAAAGGTTTTGTTTTTGCTGAGTCAGTTGAGATGTTTGCAATTGTCTGATGTTTCAACTTCACAGCAACTTGATAACTCTTCTTATCAACAGCACAAACTCATAAGGCAGACAAGAATTTCCTGTTATACGTGTCATAAACAGTAAAGTTCTGTGTGGATGTGAGCACGAGCACAGTTAAATCATATCATTTAACATAGAATCCAAAAATGTTGGATTGCATAATTAATCAATTCCTTTTTTTTTTTTTTTTGAGCACCTACTAACTGCCATGAGGGTGTATGGCAATTAACAAAACTGAGAACGCCCTGCCCTCTGGTGGGAAGTCAGATAATAAACAAGTAAAGGGATGAATGCAAATTATGTTAAGCACTTAGACTTCTTTTTGATGGGGTTTCCAATATGGAATCTTCTAAGATCACATTCTAGAAAAATAAGTCTCTCTCTTTTATTCTTTTTTAAAAGGGACTCGAATATCACATGGTACATTGATGTTACCATTTCCTAAATAAAGCTATTTAGGAATGGAAAACACACAGTTAAGCTACATTTTAAAATTATTTTTACTTGACATGTAATAATTGCACATATTTATTGGGTATAGAATATTTTGATACATGTATAAAATGTGTAATGATCAAATCAGGGTAATTAGGATATACATGGCTTCAAGCATTTATCATTTCTTAGTGGTGGGAACATTCAAAATCCTAAAGAGACTTAAATGTTCTTTAAATATTTAATCAAGAATACCTCACTGACCACTTAGTGTTCCATACACCTATCCATACAAAAAGGATATAGTTAATAAATAGATTGAAGATCAGATATGTATACCTAGAGACATTATTCCTCTTCAGATACCAAGACGTTTCTGAAGCTGTCCCTTTCATATAAGGCCAGACTAAATATATACTTGAATGAAGAAATAAACCAATGAATTAATTTTAGAAAACATGTAATGGATATGTTAATTCTCATCTTTGAAAGAGTAAATCAACCAGTTCAAGTTAGACCTATTGTCTAAATTTTAAATGGCAAAGAGAATTTTTATCCCTACAATAAATACTTGAATAAGCCACATGTTTTCCTGAAACAGTTGGATATGTATAGTATTTACCATCTCAATGGCAAATGTAAAAGGAATAGTATTTGAACGCTTTGAGATCAAAATATTTATGATTTATATTTAGGTTAAATAAAGCTAGAGTTATTTTTACTTGAGGGACGCACTTATATAGAGTGCATTAAGTTATTTCTGACCAATTTTCCTCAAGTGTAAATACCAATGAATGCATAGACTTCTTTTTAACATATTGAAAATTAGCCTCAGAATAGCATTGTTTAGCTTTGAATTTGCAAAAAAGTTACATGCATTTGATTCAAATTATATAAAAATCCATATCTGATATATAAATATTACATGTAACCACAAATGGCATTCTCCCAGTATCTTGTATATACTTAAATTCCCAATAAATAATTTATAAGGCTTAAATTTTTATTTTGAAAAATCATCAAGAGTGCTAGAAAGCATGAAATATTATGAATTAAGCTTACTATTCATGACAGAAAAATTGAAAGGGCTATGCTATTCATATAAAAATTAGTGATTTTACTTTCAAGGAAAATAATAAGTTTCACAGGTATTTTTTTATGGTGTTTCAGATGCATTTTATCAATTGGAGTCTATTTCCATGTTTTGGAAAGAAGATGCATCATTACTTGATCAATAAGCAGTAAGTCTACTAGATGTAATTATTTAGTTATTTCTGTCTTCTTGGAGTACTCAACTGCTTAATCAACCTAATAGGTGAAATACACGTGAAACTGTAGGAGAACAATTCTCAACCTTTTTCTCCTCATCCAGGGAGCATGGATTCCCTCATTTTTTATCCACTGCTTATGCTTTTCATGGCTTGGAGCTGGGAGTATGGGCTGTTCTCAGAGACTCCAACACATAGAAATTCACTGGAGCTATGGAGTAGAGATAGTAACTTTGGAATGAAGAAAGAAAGGAGGTTCCCTCAGACACTCGTTCAAAGATAACCACCTGAGATGTTTTGCAGTTCCCAGGCTAACATGCAAGTAACACCATTTACTTTCACTTTCCGATGCCAGGGATTTGTTCAGCTGCTATCATGTGCAGCTGTAACTGTGATTTCTTTTCTCTGGCCTACTTGGGAAGAGAATGAAATCTTTAACTTTGAACAAAATCTCCTCCCAAAGCACACAGGTCTTTTTGAAGTTTTCACATGCAATGTACTCTCACTTTCAGGGTCTAATCTTACACATATGCCATTTGAAAATTAACTATGTTCTTTAGAAATGTTCACCATCATTAAATCAAGCTTTTCTTATAGGAGGAGATAGCTCTGTAGACAAGGGCAAAGCAGGGTATGGAAAGAACAAGGGGTGCTGAAATGGAAAGGCAGTGAGTTGTGGACTTAATTTCTTTCCCAGAGCTTCCTCTGAGGAGTTAGATTTAGAGATGTGAGAAACTCACTAATTGTAAACTATTTGCCAAATCCCCTTAATGTCTGGTAGAGTTAATAATTTCTTTACATTTAGAGATTTAGATTGATTGAAGTTTTTTGCTATAATAGAGCAATAATCAGTATTTGCAATAAAGCTCTGCAAATTTGAGATCTGTCCTTAGGACAGATTCCCAGTTGTAGAATAACTAGTTCAAAGGGCTTGATTTGTTTTATTCATGCCACTTCATGTATATGTATTACTCAGATATTTTCTGTAGATATTCTTATAATTATATAAGCAAGCTGTGAACATATTCAATCTACAGTATTCTGATCAGAGTATTTTGATGTGAAAACATTTCCATTAATTTGATAAAGAAACTTAGCAAACACTTCTCTACTTCTAGCAACAAAAAAGTAACACCCTATGATGATTCTAAAGAAATGTGTAAACTTTTATTTCATACTTTTAAAGCAAAATTAAAGTAATAATAATAAATGTTGACCTTCCTAAATAAAACATGGTCTAAGATTAATAAAATTATCCTGCAGAATAGCCATTCATGTTTGGTTTCCTTAGCTTTCTATTCCTAGTGGATTTTTTTTTTTTTTTTTTTTTTGCATTAAGTGGTGGTAGCCTTTAAGAGAAAAGCTTGCAATTTATGTTGTAGTAGCAACTAAATAACTCTTTAATAGATTCCTTCAAACTCAACTATATAGACTATGTCAACGTAACATTGCAATTCATTTGCTATTTCTCTTACTGCTTGTGTGTTTTGTGTTTTTCGCTTTGTTTTTTGTTTTTATAGACTAGCCCCAAGCCCTCTCATTATAAGATTTTTTTTCTGGATAAAAATGCTTCCCTGTCTATAAAATATGAGTTAAACCTTTTTGTCTTACTGGATAGATTGAATCCTTTCACTACTAGGTGTATTAGTTTCTATGTTGCATCATAACACCCCATCAAAAACTTAGCAGCTTGAAACCACATCTATTCATTATCTCTCTGGTTTGGAGTCAAAAGTTCAGGTCCTCTGCTCAGGGTGTCCCAAGGTGGCAATCTAAATACAGGCCAGACCGCTTTCTTTTCTGGTACTCCGGATTCTTTTCCAAACTCATGTGGTTGTGCTGAATTCAGTTCCTTATTGTTACATTGACTGAAATTGTTACTTCCTTGCTGGCTATCAACCAGGAAATGCTCTCAGATCCTAGGAGCCCCCTTATACTTTGTTGCCTGTTATGTGGCCTGCTTAGGGGTCATTAAAAACATAGCTACTTATTTTTTCAAAGCCAATAGAAGTTCTCACTCAAGTAAGCTAAAAATGGAATGTATAATCTAATCATTCAAGTGACTATCTCACTACTTTTTCCACCTTCTATTGGCTAGACACAAGTCACAGGTTCTATTGCACTCAAAGACTGCCATCTTAGTAATCTACTCACTATAAGAGAAAATATGACAGCATTTTACTGCCCTGGGATCTGTCAGGTGAACTGTTTCATACTTTCTCATTCTGGAGTCTTGCGGTGCATCTGTCACTGTACTACACTGTCTTACCAGAAAAAGAAGTCTGGTCAGCCTGTGTAGGCTGGTTTTCTAAATATTTGTCATTATTTGTTTTTTTCTGCATAATCCAATCACCTTAATAATAATAATATTAATACCTAAACTATACAAACAATTTTCTAATTTATGAAACACTTTTATGTAGCTATTTTACTTCTTTAATTCTACTTTCCAAGAATTTAGTAAATTTTAGTGGTATTGTTACCAGTGCTCCTGGGTTCTTATAACCCCCCAGGATAGAAATCAAGAGAGACCACCAGACATAGCAGCAAAGAGAAACAGAAAAGTTTATTTAAAGCTTGTGCACAAGGAAGTCAGCACCGTGAAAGGACAAGGCAAGTTGCTCCCTGGAAGATAGTATGTGGGTTAGTTTTATAAGTCTTTCTATAGGGAAAGGTTTCACCAGGCTATGTATAGGCGGGATTTCTCTAGCACTTGAGCAGTGGCTTTACATGATTCTTCATACATTGCATATAATATTAACATTTTAAATCTCCATCCCTGGTCATGACTTTTAGCATTAAAATGAGTAAGAGGTAACTACAAGTTGAGGTTTAAGGCAGACTGTGCATGCAGGGTCCTGTGGAAGTCGTTAGTCATCTAAACCAGGAACTTGCTGTTAATAATTCTTGGGTCTTTTGTTGATGCTTGACTGGCTGGAAGTTAGGTGAGCTACAGCTTGAGTAAGGGGCTTTTGTTCTTTTTGCTCTAAATCACTTCAAAACAAGAAACCAGCCAGGTTACCTGTCTCAGTATTAATTCATTCATACAAATACTTTTGCTCAAAAGCTAAATAGTAACTTGCCCAATTTAGCATAGAGTTAGTTGAAGCCTTGTGATTTTTTTTCTTTTACTATTCCCCAATTAGAATGACCAGACAGTTGTCTCTATGCAGTCTTTGGTTGGCTAAGGTCAGAAAGTCAACTATTTCTCATTTTGGTTTAACTTGCCAAGTGCAAAAAAGCAAAATAAAAGTTGTTCTTTTGTCAGAGGCATTCAAATCACAGTGATTACATCTTGAGTGAGAGCTAGGAAAAATAAGGCTGGGACTTGCTGGGCTGCATTCCCAGAAAGTGTGGTATTCCTAGCCTCTAGAAGTTTATGGTTAGGGGAACAGATTGATAACATTTACTAAATAGACCCAGACTTGGGAGTGTCCTGATATCCCAACATCTTGAGAACAGAAGCATCTCTAATTTTGCTTTAAAGATAATAATATTGATTCTTGCAATATATAGTGATTAAGAACATTTATCCTTTATCACAAACCCTTGTAGCGGAGTACATTTCCCCATAATCCTTTTTGTAACCCTATATATAAATTATTGTACTAGGGTGGACGCGTTCCTCCTCTTACTTTTGGGAATTCCCTACTCTGTCTATGGGGTAGCTGTGCTTTCACCACTTTACCTGCTTAATAAACTTGCTTTCGCTTTGCACTGGGGACTCGCCCTGAATTCGTTCTTGTGCAAAATCTAAGAACCCTCTCTTGGGGTCTGGATTGGAATCCCTTCCCAGTAACACTTTACCTTGCTAAAATTCTGAAAATTCATACCTATGCTTCTGATTTTTTTAAAAAGGAGATTTGATAAAAGTATAAAGTAGAAAAATAATAGCTGCTGAGTAGAAACCAAAAGAAGAAAAAGTTAAAAAATAAAGAAAACAGTGCTAACTATGCTAGAAACAAATGTCAGCAAAACCAAGATGGAAAAAGAAAAAAAAATTTACTAAATTTAGATTAAAAATTGCTGAATTTATTTCACAATTACATCAATTTGCAATTTGCTGGATGTGAATTGTAAATACTGGCAAGCCACATTTTTTTAGAAATTAAAAATTATCTGATATAGCATTTCCTTCCTGATAAATGAGGTCTCCTAATTCTCTGAGGCTATTGTTAGCTTACATTTACCTTTCACCACTACATTAAAAACAACTCTTTGAAAAAAGAAAAAGAACCACTTGTACAAAGACTGAATTATACTGTCATTAGGCTTCAGTTCAAGGAGAACATCTTATGTTAAATGAATGTAGAGTGGTAAATGCCACTGCTAACATAAATGTAATAATTACTATAATAAAAAATATACAATTTACATTGTGCTTCACATAGAAAATGTAAGTCTAATCATAAGGAAAAGAGATGGAAAATTAGAGGCAAATAGAGATGAATACATCTAGTTTAAGAAAGTATAATTATCAAACCAAACCGAGCATTAATTTTTGTACTTATTTATTAAAGTTGTCATTAGAAGAGAGAAAACTAGAGTTAGCTAATCTATTCAGCATCAAACAGGACCTCAACATTAAATATTCCACCCTACAATAACATCTTTTTAAAAATTCTACACAACAAAGATACCGTTTTGCTCATTAAATAAATGACAGTTGGAACAAGAAATGGCTAAAGATGCAAGGCCTTATAACTTTAAATCCAAGGAAATCATAAAAAATATCAGCCAAGATTATATTTTCTAATCATCTATGATTCATTTTTCTACAACATAAAGGTTGTAGATAAAGCTGATAGATTTGATTAATGAACATGTTGTGTTCTATTTTGCTGTATTAGGCAGATATCAATCCTTGTATTTAAGAAAGATAGAAGGGCTAATGCCCTTGTCTCACAGCTATTAACAATTTTGCAAATATTATGTCAATGTTTGAATAGTCCACCAATTTGACAAAAGTTTACTCAAGACATCTCCATGGACTGGAAATTATTCTGAGTCTCTGATAATAGAAAAGTCTAAAGGACAAGTTATCCAAAGGTAGATTCAAGATCTAGGAGCATTCAATAGCCAGTCCTTAGGAACTAGGCATCCAGTACCCTAAATAAAGAAAAAAGATACAAAACATTGTTTATTATAGAAAGCACTGAAAATCTTAAATAAACCATTATATCTGTGGATAACCATGAAGTGGCCTGCAGCATTCTCTCAATATTCATGCATCTCAAGTAGTCGCTTTATTGCCACATAAGATCAGAGTAAGTTCCTAAGAATAGGAAATGCCTGGAAGAAGAGTGAATAAAATTTATCTATACTGTACAAACTACCTTTATCTATTTTTAGTCTTTGTATTAAAAAACATACTGAAAGCATGAGCTATTATTTATAATGGTAAATATAATATAAAATTATATTATAATTGTAATGCTGCCACACTCTGCAGAATTTCAGGAAGACCCAAAGTGATTATGCTCCTAAACAGCTATGATAGTGTCCCTGTGACAGTGATGTAAACTAGATCTTGTAAAAATAATGATATTCCTAGCAACAATTCAGGTAGTTACAATAGGAAAAGATGGAAAGATATAAAAGTGTGCTAATTAAAAAAAACTTTGTGGTATGGAATCAATGAATTTATTGTAGTTGACAAACTAAGAAAAAGATGGAAAAGTGCATTATTTAAAATTAAATTTTGGAAGTGAAGTTGCTAAGAGAGCAGGGAAGTCGTGTTGGTACCTGAAGACCAGGCATTAATTAATCTTACATAAGGATGACAAATCAAGAAACATGTATGCAAGTATTTTATTTAAATATATATATGTTTTAATTGCATAACATTCCATTAAAAAAATCAAAAGACAAACAATAGATTGGAACGAAATATTTGCAACATGTAGTAAATATATTGGGATAATAACTCTAACATACAAATAAATTTAGAAACTGTTAAGAAAAAGACAAATCAAAGGAAAGTTATTTAAAGGATATAATAACCAATCCTGAGAAAGGGTAATCCAGATGAACAACAAATATATAAATAATGACGATGGCATATAAGTTTTTGAGCCCTTGATTAATTTTATTTAAAAATTAATAATTTTGTGATATTAAATAATATTCAATGGCAATATGCATTTGGAGAACTGAAACTCATACATTTCCTCATGAGTTCACACTGTGGCAGTGTGAATTTCTACACGTCTTTGGAAAGTAATCAGAAAATGTTTATTAAAATTTGAGCAAAGTCACATGGGAGATTATGTTGTAATGATCACAAAACACCAATACCTAAGAACTTACCTATGTGGGTGATTACTGCAATATTGTTTGTAGGTGAGAAGCTAGAAGCAACCTTTTAAATAGCTGGGTTAGGAAATAGACAAATGGTGCTATATCAATATTACTGATGATGTGAAACTCCTCAAAGTAACACAACAGATATAGAGTTATTGACTTTGAAGAATGCCCGTTATTCACTATTAAACAACAAAGGTAAGGATATTATTTTCCTAACAAAATAAGAGTTTGCAGATTAAGCAGTGTATGATGAGTGGTGCAGTGGCTTCTTCAGACGTTCAGTGCCCAAACCTTGTTCTATTTTTTTGTTCCACTAGTCCTAGAGGCATATGGCTCGTCACATCCCACTTCTTATAGTCATGTTTCAAACTGATAGAAAGGACAAGGCTCACCAAGCTTAATAAGGGACAGCTGAGCCTGTTTCTCTTTAAAAACTTTCCCAAAAGCCCAACCAGTGAGTGACATCTCCATTCTTCTCATTGCCAAGAATTGTGTCTCATTGTATCCCTATCAGAAAGGAAAACTATGACGGTAAATATTTTAACAGGGCACATTGGCAAACTTTCTCCCTAAAAAAAATAACTATGAATTAGGGGCTCTATTTGTAAGGTAGAAGAGAAAAATGAATATTGGATGAGTGACTAACAATGTCTGCCACTCCTGTGGATGTGCACATATGTTTCATAGTATCATATGACTGGAGATAAATGGGCAAAGAAATACAGCAATCTGCTTAGACTGATTACACCACAGGGGTGGGAATGAAGGTTAGAAAAGATTATTAACGTCTTACATCATTTTTGTAGTGTTTCAGTTATCATAAGAACACATGCACTTTTTATTTTAAACAAAGTAAATAGAAACAAATGAAAGAATAAGAAGTTAGATGCAAACATGTCACAAAAGAAAAACAAAAACAATGAAAAATTCATTTATTTTGCATTAATTATTACAGTAGAATGAGCCTAATAAGTTAATGTTTTATTTAAAATGTTATACTGGTCATAATCAACAGATTAAAAAACAAATTCAGTAAACAGTGGTAGTCCTTGGGGAATGGGAGCAAAAGAAAAAGGTAAAAAATTTTGCATATTTCCATGTACCTTTTAAAACCACATTGTGATGGTTAATACTGAGTGTCAACTTGATTGGATTGAAGCATGCAAAGTATTAATCCTGGGTGTGTCTGTGAGGATGTTGCCAGAAGAGATTAACATTTGAGTCAGTGGGCTGGGGAAGGCAGACCCACCCTTAATCTGGTGAACACCATCTAGTCAGCTTGCAGTGAATATAAAGCAGGCAGAAAAACGGGAAAAGGCGAGACTGGCCTAGCTTCCCAGCCTACATCTTTCTCCCATGCAGGATGCTTCCTGCCCTCGAACATCAGACTCCAAGTTCTTCAGTTTTGGGACTTGGACTGGCTCTCCTTGCTCCTCAGCCTACAGACAGCCTATTGTGGGCCCTTGTGATTGTGGAAGTTAATACTTAATAAATTCCCCTTTATATATATATAAATAACATTTATTAATAGTGAGTTTTATTTAATTTAAACTAGCCATCTTTTTTCCAGTTTTATAAACTATATCTAGGTGTGATGAAACAAATGTGTGAAGAAATCTGTATTCCAAGTAATGAACATATGTTTTCGTATTGAATAACACATTTCCTCATAAACACATTGTATAAAGAACATCATTTCATATCATATAACTTATTAATATGCTCCTCCAAATTAAGAATTTAACTTAAGAATACCTCTAAACTTTCCAAATCATGCATAATTTATGTGACTATATTGCAAGAATGAGTATAGGAGTGCATATGTTGGTGTTGAATATTTATTTAACACAGTGTTTAAATGTTAAGTAAAATACTAGTATCTGAGGCCTTTCTAAAGACTGTAAGCTATGGTATTAAGCAGGAAAGACTAAGTTATCTTGTGATGAAAACAAACCATGAATATCAATGAATCAAAACAAATAAATACACAGATATACATTTCTCATTTTGACTATATGTTTATCTCAGGTTTTCCACAAAATGGGACACAGGTGGATGAAGCTTCCTCTGTCTGAAATACGCTTGGTCACCATGGCAGAGAGAAGGGAACATGTTATTCAAGGTCTCTTAATGGCTTCTATATGGAAGTTACACATGTTCTTTGTAGTCATATTTCATTTGCCAAAGGAAGTAGTGTGGACACTGTTAACTTCTATATACCAGGAATATAAAACTGGAATTACTATATTTTATTATTTTATGAGCTCCAATTATTGAGAGCGTTTACAACCCTTCACTGAAACACGTGTCTATGTGAGGTCTCCCAACATGTTCTCTTCTGTAGTAGTACTCTGAATAAGGGTAAAGTCATTAGGAATGTATATAGTATATGGCAAATGTTTCACCATTTAGAATGTAATTTCCTGAAATGTCTAAATCTTTCTTTAAAAAAATAAAACAGTATGATATAATATACCACAGTCACACACACACACACTCAGTTTCCTTTTGAATGTCAAAAAATATCAGGAGTTTTTAATATTATGGTAGATGCTCTTATACACTCAGTCTACAGACCTTAAATGATGGAATATAGATTCAAAGATGCTGTAATAATTCAAAGTACATGGCTTTTTTTTCTTTACCCATCCAGGATCCAGAGCCGAGAACACTGGTATGATGCAAGGATTTGTGGCCAGCCAATTCAAGCTTGAAAACTTATCTCTATCACTAACATGACATTATATTCCTGATATTTTTACTTCTCTTAGCCTCTGTTTATTTGTCTGTAAAACTGGAGTGTGATTCAAGAAGGGTGTAAGAACATTTAATGGGGATAATAGTCTTTTCAATTAATAGTTATAGAACCACTGGATATCCACTGCAAAAGAATTAAATCAGACCCCTGCTTCATACCATATGCAAAAATTAATTCAAAGCATTCATAGATTTAAATGTAAGAACTAACACTATAATACTCTTAGAAGAAAACATAGGGGTGAATCATAGTGACCTTAGATAAAGTAATGATTTCTTAGATACAATAGCAAATGCACAAGCAACAAATAAAGACATATATTGAACTTCATTATAATGAAAAAATGCATGTTTCAAGGATGTCATCAGTAAAGTGAAAAGATGACCCACAAATAGGGAGGAAATGTTTTCAAATTATATAACTGATGAGGAACTTGTATCCAGAATATATAACGAACATTTACAACTCAACAATAAAGAGACTATTTAATTTTTTAAATGGCCAAAAAACTTAAATAGATTTTCCTCCAAAGAAGGTATACAAATGGCCAATAAGCATATGAAAATGTGTTCCTTTGTGAAATGCAAATCAAAACAACAATGAGCTATTGTTCATACCTAGTAGGATGGATATACTAGAAAAGACAGAGAATAACAAATGTTGATGAGGTTGTGGATAAATTGAAACTCTTATGCACTGCTGATGAGAATATGAATTCATGCTGCCCCTATGAAAAACACTTCAAAAGGTGCTCAATATTTAAACAGAGTTACCATATCACTGAGTAATTCTACTCCTAGGTATACACCAAGAAAATTGAAGATTTATGTTCATGTAAAAACTTGTGCACAAATACTCATATCAGCATCATAAATAATAGTTAACAAGTGGAAACGGCCCAGATCTCCATCACTGATAAATGGATAACAAATTATTTTATATTCATACAATGGAATATTATTTAGCCATAAATGTATCAGGAATTAAGTACTGATGCATTCTACAACATGGATAAACCTTGTAAACATTATGCTAAGTAAAAGAAGCCAAACACAGAAGAATAAATATTGTATAAATCAATTTATATGAAATGTCCAAAAAGTAGATTAATTGTTACCAGGGCCTGGGGCAAGGCAGATGTGGGAAATGAATGCTAAGTGTGGATGATGCCACCTTTCTAATATTAGGTGGGGGAGATGGCTGCACAATCCTGTGACTATACAAAAAAAATGCTGAATTGTATACTTTAAAGAATGTAATCCCAGCACTTTGGGAGGCCGAGGCGGGTGGATCATGAGGTCAGGAGATCGAGACCATCCTGGCTAACAAGGTGAAACCCCGTCTCTACTAAAAATACAAAAAAATTAGCCGGGCGCGGTGGCGGGCGCCTGTAGTCCCAGCTACTCGGGAGGCTGAGGCAGGAGAATGGCGTGAACCCGGGAAGCGGAGCTTGCAGTGAGCCGAGATTGCGCCACTGCAGTCCGCAGTCCGGCCTGGGCGACAGAGCGAGACTCCGTCTCAAAAAAAAAAAAAAAAAAAAAAAAAAAAAAAAAAAAGAATGAAATTCATGGTTTGTGAATTATATCTCAATAAGCTGTTTTATATATATGTGTGTGAAAACTGTATTTTATATTTATATATATATATATATACACTCAGCTTATTTGGAGCATGAGAATTATGGCTTTTATAAAGTGGGTTTATTTTTGTATGTTTCAGTTGATTTTTTTCCATTCTATAGTTAAGGTTAAATGTTCGAATTTATTTTCTCCCCTCTCCATGTCTTAAGTCAGGGCTCTAGCCCCTTTGTATTCCACAATTCCAGATATAACTTTATAATAATATTATTCACTCAACATTATTGTGAATATCAATGACATCAATATACATGAAAATGATTTGAAAACTGTTTATAGCCATCCAAAAGGAATTTTATATTACTTATGATTATCTGAAAATATCTGGTCTATAACTGTTGAAACTGTTTTTTTCCATCTTGCTTGTCTGGTTCACCACTCTATCCAATTGCTTTGAACACTGACTTGAACTGAGTATGTATCCAAATGAAGGAATCAAATGGAGGAATTCTATAAGCTATATTTTTATTATTGGTATTGGAGTTATTATGAAGTAAAAACCTGCAAATGAATCAGTTGTGCACATGCTTTTAAGTCAGTTGCATTGTCTTATATTTAAATAAGCCAGACTATTGACACCTGACCTATTAAAAAATGAAGCAGTAATGAAAAAATTAAAAAAAAAGATCTTTATGAATGAAATAGCTATTAATAAACCCAGGTACCAAACACTAAATGATGTAGCAACCTAGTCATTATAGAAATATTCATAATTTTAATGTTTGATTGTATTTGTTAAATAATTTTGCTGAAAGCTTTGTTACCATAATTGTTTTCATCATTGGTTTCAGGACCTATAAATCAACTTAAAACCACTCATTTTTACCCACTTAGAGATCTGTACTAGCTTCTGAAGCAGCAGGTGACCCATTAATTTAAGAGACTCATTATAAGTAATCAATATGACTTGAGTGCCTTTATTATAAGCTCTAGAGTCTTAATATTCAATGTCACTGGTAGAGTTAAGAATATGAATTGCATTTAAATCATATTTACTGGGGGAATTATACATTTTATCATAAGGTAAAAGCTGATTTTACTTTAGTCATTTAAACAATATTAAAGTTATCATTCTTAACTTGTTGATTTCACAACTTATTTAGCAATTTATATTATGCAAATGGCTTTGGGATATAGAATATAATAAATATGAATTTTATAATTTAAAGATATTTTTCTTATAAAACCCAATAAGCCACAAACAAAAATAATGAACAGAGAATAATAAAAATAATTTATCTTTAACTCTTCTAAATACTAAAATGTGTCAAGGCCACAAGGATCCTGGGGTTTTCAACAATAGTATCAACTAAATAGATCAAATGAAATAAAATGCATACATATATGCTAACATAAAAAAGAGATTCCTAAGAAAAATTAAAACAATTGCTAATGTAATACTTTAAGTAAATTGACTGGAAAAGCAAAAGTCATTAGCTTTATTAAACCTATGCTTTAGAAGTATTTAACTGACGTTAGAGTTTATAGAATATTATAATAAAATTTCAAAGTAAGACTGCATATCTATTTAAGCTTCCATTTAAAAAATAATTGGTAATTAGGAATAAGCTATAATTTACTAAAGTTAACCTAAATCACAATCATCTGTAAAACAATTACCACAAAATAATTAACATGCCGGATGGCTCTAGTATTAAAGTACTCCAATAGTATTGAGTAAAAATTTACTATCTGTCCTGGTCTTCCTGCAGTTTCAAATCTTGTCACCTTAGTTTTTTATCATTTGCTAATTTCTATCTGAATTTCATTATATATCAAGTTTAGCAGGTGCTTTTTTTGTATAAGAAAATTTATGCACATTTTTTACATAAAATTTGACATAAAATCCCAAATCCCTGAGTTTGTAATTGTATCAGACATTAACAGGTTTCATCAACTGGGAAAAAATAGTAAGAAAAAATATAAAGCTTTTACTTTTTTGCCACCTGAAATGATCCCTTTGTGCAGAAGTAATTATTGCTTCTATATTTTCTATGTAGCTACAAAACATATAGTTGTTTTTAAAATTTATGTTAGATTCCAAAAACTGTGGCATTCTGTGAAGACATAAGAGCTGAAAATAAACTTTTTCATGTTGGTATATTCCATTCAATGCAAATTTCTTCAGGACAAAGAGGAGCTAAACACTAAAAACACAATATGAAATTCCAGTGTCTTCTTGGATTATTTACACATCTAATATGTATTGTCAGTAGTCTTTTCTGCTGAATCAGGTGATTGTATTTAGGTTATGCTCTCATCATAAAATGTATTGTAAATTTTCATATGTTTTATTATTCTGAACTAATTTAAATGACAATGGAATTATCATATTGTTAAGAGAATCAGCTTAACTCTAAAGCTGCATGGAATCTTTGCAAATTTAAATCGTGGGTCTTTAAATTTGTTTTCTGATCCTTGTATGGTTTTTGATGTGTTTTACTTCACAGAGGTAGATTTTGCTTCAATAGTTCTCTACAGTATCATCATTTTCTTTGTGATTCTGAAAATTTTTGCAATAATATTTTCATAATCGTTTTTAACTTTGACTCTATCTTTTGCCTCATTCCCATTTATACTAGTACTCTGTCTTTTGACCTTAATCAGAGCTGCTTAGAGGTTCTTTTATTGTGCTTTTTTGAAAGCCAGCTTTTAATATATAATTTCAATTTCTTTGAATTTCATCATTTATTTCCATTAATTTCAAGGGAGGAAAATGTTGAACAAATTGTGAGATAAATATTGTTTGGAATATTATGCTGATTTTAAAAAATATTGAATTAAATATTTAATTATTGACCTAAAGGAATATCTATGATGCATTATTAAATCACAAAGCAAGTGTTTGGTTTAAAGAATGTTGATGAAAAATGACTGTTTATAATGATTACCTTTTTAATACCTTTGCATACTTTGGTTGTCTTTCAAATACATAAATGAAGATTATTAACTTGGTACATCTTTGAATTTTTTTCTTATTTTTTTTAATCTTTAAAAAAACTTTTAGAAACAGAGTCTCACTTTGTTACTGAGGCTCATCTCAAACCCTTGGGCTCAAGCAATCCACCTACCTTGACCTCCCAAAGTGTTGGGATTACAGGCATGAGCCACTGTGCCTGGCTTTCTTATGGTTTTTTTTTTTTTTAATAGATTTGGGGGTATAAGTGCTGCTTTGTTACATATATATTTTGGGTAGTGATGGGAGTCTGGGTTTTTTGTGTAACCATTACCTGAATAGTGTACATTGTGCCTATTAGGTAATTTCTCATCCCTCAACTTCCTCCCACTTTCCCACCTTTGATTCTCCAATGTCTATTTTCCCGCTCCCTCTGTCCATATGTACACATTTAGCTCCCACTTACAAGTGAGAAGATGCATTACTTGACTCTCTTTCTGAGTTGTTTCAATTAAGATAGTGACTACCATCAATGTTGCTGCAAAAAGACATGATCTCATGCTCTTTTTATGACTAAGTTGTATTCCATTATAAATACCACATTTTCTTTATTCAGTCTTCCATTCATGGACACTTAGGTTGATTTTATGACTTTGCTGTTGTGAATAGTGTTGCGATGAAACATATGAGTGTAGATATATTTTGACATAATTTTATTTCTTTTGGATAGATACCCCGTGGTGGGATTGCTTGGTCAAATGTTAGTTCCATTTTTAGTTCTTAGAAAGATTGCCATTCTGTTTACCATAAAGGTTGTACTAATTTCCATTCCCACCAACAGTGAACAAGTGTTCCCTTTTCTCCACATCCATGCCAACATTTGTTATATTTTGACTTTTTAATAATAACCATTATGACTGGTGTAAGATGCATTTAATAGTGTATGTTGATTTTTTTATCCTGAAACTTAATTAATTCATTTATTAAATCTACGAGTCTTTTGGAGGACTTTTTAGGAACTTCTAGGTACAAAATTATATCATCAGCAAACAGACATAATTTAATTTTCTCCTTTCTAATTTGGTGCTATTTCTTTCTTTTTCTTGCCTGATTCTTCTGGCCGGGACTTACAGTACTCTGTTGAGTAGGAGTGTTGAAAGTGGGCATCTTTGTCTTTTTCTAGTTCTTAGAAAAAAAGCTTTCAACTTTTCTCTGTTCGGTGTGATGTTGGCTATGAGTTTGTCTTATATGGCTTTTGTTATATTCATGTATGTTCCTTCTATGACTAGTTAACTTGTTGGGGGGTTTTATCATGAAGAGATGCTGAATTTTATCAAATGCTTTTTCTATATTTATTGAGATGATCATATGATTTTTGTTTTTAATTCTGCTTATGTAATGAACCATGTTTATTGAGTTGTGTATATTGAAACATCCTTGCATCCCCAGAATAAAATCTACTTGATTGGGGTGTAGTAACTTTCCAGTGTGCTGTTAGATTAGTTTTGTCAGTATTTTCTTGAGGATATTTGAATCTATGTTCATCAGGGACATTGGTCTGTACTTTTCTTTTTTTTGTTTTGTTCTTGCCTGGACTTAATACTGGGGTGATGCTGGTTTCCTAGAATGAATTAAGTAGGATTCCTTTATCCTCTACTTGTTAGAACAGTGGTACCAGTTCTTGTTGTGTGCAAATTCAAGATTTTTATACCTTGTTGAATTGATCCGTTTATCATTACACAGTAACCTTCTTTGTCTTTTTTTACTTTTATTGATTAGAAATCTGTTTTTATCAGATAAAAATATATCTTCTTGTTGAACTGATTCTTTTACCATTATATAGTGACGTTCTTTGTCTTTTTTTTTACTGCTACTGAAGTCTGTTTTATCTAAAACAGGTATATATTCTTTTTGAATTGATCCTTTATCATTATATAGTGACCTTCTTTGTCTTTTTTTACAGTTATTGATTTAAAATTTGTTTTATCTGACACAAATATATCTAGCCCTGCTCACTTTTGGTTTTCATTGGCATGGAATATTTTTTTCCATCCCTGTATCTGCAGTCTGTAAGTGTCTTTACCATTTAGGTAGATTTCTCATAAGCATCATCTGGTTGGATCATGTTGTGTTTTCTTGTTTGTTTGTTTGTTTTAATCCATTCTGCCAGTCTACATGTTTTAAGTGGGGCATTTAATCAATTTACATTCAAGGTTAAGATTGATATGTGAGGTTTTGTTTCTGTCTTAATGTTAATTGTTATCTAGCTGCTTTGTAGTCTCATTTGTTTAATTGCCTTATACTGCCTGTTAGTTTTATATGTATGTGTGTATTTGTGTTGGTAAGTATCGACTTTTCATTTCCATGTTTAGAATTCCCTTGAGCAATTCTTGTAGGGTCAGTCTAGTGCTGACAAATTCCGTCAGCATTTGCTTACCTGAGAAAAGTTTTCTTTCCCCTTCATTTATGAAGCTTATTCTGACAGGATACAAAATTTGGGTTTGACAGGTTTTGTTTTGTTTCTTTTTCCTTAAGCACTTTGAAAACAATTTCTCAATCTCTTCAGGCTTGTAAAATTTCTGCTGAGAAGCCCATGTTAATCTGATGGGAATATTTTATAGATAATTAGATGCTTTCACGGTGCTGATTTTAAGATTTTTTTCCTTTATGTTGACCTCAGACAGTATGATGACTGTCTTGATGAGATCCTTCTTGCAATGTATTTTTCAGAAGTCTTTGAGCCTCTTGTATCTGTATGTCTAGCTCTTTTGCTAGACTAGGGGAATTTTCCTTATCTGTTTTCTCAAATAGTTTTTCCAGACTTTTTCTTTTTTTTCTACCTCAGGAATACCTATAACTCATAGGTTCAGACATTTCACATAGTCTCCTGCTATGAGAAGGCCTTTCTGATGTTTAAAATTCTTTTTTCTTTGCTTTTATTTCACGAGATTAATTCAAGAGACTGTCTTCATATTCTGAGATTCTTTCTTCTGCTTGGTCTAGTCAATTCTTGAAGCTTTCAATTGTATTTTGTAATTACTCCTGTAATTTTTTCATTTCCAGAAATTCTGTTTGGTTTTTCTTTAAAATAACTCTCTCTTTGGTACATTTCTAATCTGAATCTTGAATTGATATTCTGATTTCTTTGCATTGGCTTTCAGATTTATCTTGGATCTCATTGAGCTTTCTAACAATCCATATTTTGAACTATCTATCTAGCATTTCAGGATTTTCATTTAGGTTAGGATCCATTGCTAGAGAGGTCGTGTGATTCTTCGAGTCACCCTATTTACTCATACTGCTGAAATTGTTATGCTGGTTCCCTCTTACCTGGTGGAACTGTCATTCTTATGTTTTAATCTACTTTTGTCTAGATGAGAGTTTTTTACTTCTTAAGGGTGTAACAGTAACATGTGTTAAGTCAGGTTATTTAGCTTTGTTTCTGGGTGCTTTCAGGAAGCCAAAACTTTGTATGAATTTCTTGGTTATAGATAGCCTAAGTTTGTGGTTTTCTCAAATGCTAACTGTAGTAGTGGCATTCTGGGTGTGTGAGTAGGCTCTCCGCCTCCTACAGAAATGGGGAGGTGGTGGTCTTAAGAAACTTATCTTGCTCCTAAGCACTGTGCATTTGTGTCAGCGGATTTTTTATTGGGTTGTGCATTTCAACCTCCAGGCCAGTAGGTGGTCCCTGCAGGTAAGAGTTGACTAAGGTGGTAGTAGTATGGTATATGGTTGATCTTAGTTTACATGCAGTTCTATGATGCCTCAGGCCACGGACTTGTCTGCAGAGAACTGGTTCCACTTTCAACTGCACATGGGGGCAAAGCTGGGTAGAACTGGATTAGGCTAGCCTGCCCTCTTGTACTCCTATGGCAGGTGCAAGCACCAGCCCTTAGAGGAGAGTGGCATAGAGTCTGTCACTCTGTGAGACTTCCTTAGTTATAAATAGCCTTAATGATGGCTTTCTCAAAGGTCTACTGTAATTGTAATGTACTAGGTGGGTGAATGGGCTCAAGGCCTCCTGAGAAGCTGGGGTGTTATAGGCAATTGTAGTAGCTGAGGTTGTACAAAGCTTTTCTCTTTCAAGAGTGCTGGCAATTGTGTCAGCAGATGTTGTAATGCACTGTGCAGGTAGACTTCCCAGCCAGTAGATGAAGCTTGCAGGAGGAAGCCAGCTGCAGTGGTGGCCTTGGGATTTATGCTTGACCTTTGTTAACTAGAAAGTATGATTTCCCAAGTCATAGGCAGGGCCGTGGAACTCTCAGAAGTCCCTGTCCTTTGGTCTGCCACCATGGCAGGTTGAGAGGGCAAAGCTGGGTGAATAATTGTGCAACATTCTTAAACTAAACAAAAATGAAGACAAATTTTTGAAGTAAGAGAAAATGTCATTAAGTAAAGTTTTTTGGTTCTATTCAAGGCTTTTGTTTGCTTGCAAGAGTAATCCATTCAAACTATCTTAGATAAAAGTAGAAGGGTTGAAAAAATACAAAGATCTCAAGGATCTCCTATATGTTGAAACAGTAAATAGATAATTCTCAAGTGAATGAAAATAGGTTCTAGCAGATCAAGAATTTGAGCCATTTTCTCCACATCTCAGAGCCACGTTTTCTTCTACTACCACTTCTTTTTGCATTCTCTCTGTTAACATTCTTTTATACCTTATTATGTCCCTATATCTGCCTTTCATAATATGATTTGGGGGTCTGTTCTTCATCACCAAATAGCATGTTTTCTTAGTTTTTCATGTTCCTGAGAGGGAGTAAATTGATTCGTGTCATTTTTATGAGCAAGGCTGCAAATTTAGAAGCCAGCTCTCCTCATGAATTGTATAAATATGAGAGTCTCCTGGTGTTCCAGCCACGGTGGAAGACTCACGACCATCCCTTTACACTTTTAGGTCTTTATTTTCGCTAACACCCTTTCCTCAAAAACCCCAAATTCTTCCCATTGTCTGAGGCCAGTACCTCTGTTAAAATTTTAATAATATTTAACCTTTTATTATTATGGATTGCAATAATAGTTTAAGCCAATTATAAAATATTCCTGATCTAAACCTTGTAGTTTCTTTTATCTAAGGGTTAACTCCTTATGAACTCGTAAAATTAAGAACTGGATTTTTTTTTTGTATTTTTCAAAAATGCACAGTATTTTTCATATATAATATAAATGTTTATAGAGGTTCAAAAACAAAAAAGGTAAACGTGGACTGCATATTGGTAATATTCCACATATAGTATCACCACAAGAGATATGTAAGACTGTACACAATTATAAAATGCATCCGAAGATATTAAATATGTTGATTAAATATGTTAGCAAAACAAAAGTTCAAACTTGGGGCTCTTATTTTCTGAAATTTCCTGCTCAGTTCAGTAAATTCAATTATAGATAAATAAGTTTACATGAAGAAGGGAGATTAATGGATTAATGTCAATTTATACAGGTTTCTCTAGTATAGTAATGCAGCCTCTTCACTCATTTTTTTGATGTTCCATTTCTTTTTATTGAAGAGATGAATTACAACCGAGAAAGCATGCTCATAAAATTTTTACCATGGCACAAAATTGCTGTTTCTTGCGTCTTTGCCTCTATGCATGTTATTTATTCTGTCTAGAATGTCATTGTTTTCCTTGTGTGTCTGATAAATACTCCAAAGTCAATCCTTCTCTAAGATCATCCACATATGCCTTTCCTTTACTAACATGAAAAAACTAAATTTCTCATTTGACTTCTTACTTTGGCTATGATTAACCTGTTCTCCAAGGCTGCTAATCCACTAGTGACTTCCTAGGTTTATGCATTCCCACCTGCCTTCTTGATTCACCACAATTCAACCCAGCTGGTATTTTTTAAGTTCCACAAAGTACTGAGCTCATTCTCACTCAATGCTCTACTTCAGCCTATTTATTTATGTGGAATACTCCTCAGCACCCCACCTTCCCTTCCCTAACTAATTATTCATATTTTGCTTTCAGTTTAAAGGCATCTTTAGCAGAGAACATTTTCTAACCACCCAAACTAAGTCAGATCCCATCCTGTTATTCACTTTCATGGCCCTCTGCATTTTCCTTCATATTATATTTACAGGTTTGTAAGTTTTGAAATGTTTGTTTAATGTTTATCTCTTTCATGCATGATAAACTCTAAGAAGGTGGAGACTACATCTATTTTGTTCACCAAACTATGAGCAATAAATATGCGTTATACATTTTCATTATGCCACTGTAACAGTTTTTTAATAGAGTTGTAGCTGTCGCTGCTACACGCCTATAATGGGAGCCGATTTCAACTGATGACTGTAATTCTAGAAACTTGTCTAGCACTTATATAGACACATGATATTGCCTCAGAAATTGATTATTATCTGGCTTATATAATTAAATTCATTCATTCATAATTGTGAATTAATAAGGAATTGTATTACATAGAATAATGGGTTCTCCAAAATATCTCCATTTTAAATTCTGGAACCCTGGATATGTTATGTTACATGAGAAAAAGATTATGTTTAAGGACGTTAAGGTTAGGGAAATTTTATAAGATAAATCCTACTGGATTCATTTTAATCAGTTGAGTTGATAACAACAGAGCCTTTTCCAGCTATGGTCAGAGAGATGAGACAGCAGAAAAGTCTGGGAGATGCAATGTTGCTGGCTTTGAAGATGAAAGAGTGTACGAATAAAGGAATGTGGATGGCTTCTAGAAGCCATTTTCTTTCTGGAAAATGCAAATAAAGGTTCTCCTCTAGAAACTCTAGGAAAGAACACAGCCCTAAAGACACCTTGATTTTACCTCAGTTAGATCCATGTCTGACGTCTAACCTACAGAACTGTGAAATATTTTTTGCTGTTATTTTAAGCCATTTAGTGTATAAGAATTTGTTATAGCCACAATAGAAAACTAATACAGGAATATATAATACATATAATACTTATTTTAAGCCATTAAGTATATAAGAATTTGTTATAGCCGCAATAGAAAACTAATACAGGAATATATAATTCATATAATACTTATTTTAAGCCATTAAGTGTATAAGAATTTGTTATAGCCACAATAGAAAACTAATACAGGAATATATAATACATATAATACTTATTTTAAGCCATTAAGTGTATAAGAATTTGTTATAGCCACAATAGAAAACTAATACAGGAACATATAATACATATAATACTTATTTTAAGCCATTAAGTGTATAAGAATTTGTTATAGCCACAATAGAAAACTAATACATGAATATATAATACATATGCAAGATGACAGAATTCAAATACAGAAAATTTTCAATTGCTTAGAAAAATTAGTTGAAACGAACAAAAACAATTGACTATAGATCAATATAAAGGTTTACATTCAAGACAAAAATATAACTGGATAAGGAATATCTGACTTAGCAGTAGTTCATGTATAGAAGACCTTTAGTTTCTAACTTGACTATGATCATAACGGGAGTAAGATGTGTGAAACTGTTCCAAAGGCAACTACTGGGACTTTAGCCTACACTAGTCAAAGTTCTAATGGAGGTAGCCAAGACTTACCAAGACATGGGGCATTTATTATCTGGGGTATCAGAATTATCACTCAGAGACAGAAGTTTTTACGATTCAATAAGTGAGGTTCCATGTTCTCTTCCCTCAAAGAGGCAAGCCGAAAAGATGGATATTCAGATAGACATACAAGGTAATGGAGATTCCATCAGTCAATGCACCTGAGTGACTATGATGAGCAAAACACCTTGTTCATTAATTGAAAACTAAGTAAAAAATAAGTCTTTGTTGTTAAAGAAATATTTTAATACTGTTACTTAGTCTGTCTTGACTTATTTTGTGATCCTTCCCAAATACTTTTCAATGATAAATTATAAATAGTATCAAACTAGCAGTACGCTTTTTTGCTTAAGCCTACAGTATATAGTAACATAATATAGCCTATAATCTACTAACCATATGGGTATGGCAGTACATTTTGCCGCTCAAGTATGATTTCTTAATCCTCTTGTGTTAGTCATCAACATTATACACCAAGTATTTCTGCCTCTCTTCCCAAATAGTTGTTAAGTTGCAACGCCCAGTGGTATTGAAGTGAGATGTCACCATGTGACTTGCCTTTGCCAGTGTGTATCACTTCCTGGTGGAGCTTTATGGACAGTATAAATTCACTATCTTCTCTTTCTCTCTGCCACAGTGACAGTTTTAGTTAGTGGATAGTCTGTCAGTCTGTTTCCAAGACTGAGAACAGCAATGCAGCAGGGCCCCAGTTTTCCCTGATAGACATGGGACGTGAAATAAACCTTTGTTGAGATTTTTAGGTTGTTTTTTATCAGCATATTCTAGATTGTCCTGACAGATACAAGCTCTCTTGCTAAAGCAGTTACATAAACGATTTTCAAAGAAAATATCTGCTTTTCCAATGATACTTTCTTAGTAACATGCTGCCTCTGAATGTATTATGTTGTTTTAATTACTTCTCATATATTAAAAAACAAGTATTTTTGGGTTTATGGAATGTGGTGTATAATATTTAAAAAACATAGATAAACTTAATATTTGCCTGTAAAACAAGGAGAAAATGGCCCATATCAATTCTTAGAAGTTATTTTAAGATAATATGGAATCCCTATTCTCTAATATTTATTTCTATACTTTTTATATTGTAATGCAATGCTGATGCCATATTGACTTGTTACATAGAAAGATACGGTGTGGGACTTCGTGTTATTTTTTCTCTACACTGTCCTTTCTCCCTTCCTTTTTTTTAATTAAGGTAGTTTTTCCTGAAATCAGTTTTGTTTGTGGCACCTTCTGACCTATTTAATGGATTCAAAATAAATATTGCTTAAAAACATTTTAATAGCTTTTCTAAATCATATATGTTAATTGCTTTTATAACAGTGCTTTAGTGTTAGTATTGCTGCCATTTTGTAAAGAAGTAAAGCTCATAGAAATAATGAGCTCAGCAGATAATAGTCCAATGATGACAAATTTCAAAGTAGTTCATCTTGTCCATGCCTGAATAAGTAAGAAAACTGAGTTTTTCTTTTGTAAAAAATGTATCAGATCGTTTTTAAAACATTGGATAGCCATGTTTACATGTATTACATGTATTACAAATACTTTTTTGTTCTTGGCAGAAAACTTGACTATATGTGAAGGCTCACTCAGACAGAATTCAAATGTGCATATTCCAGTACATTGAAAAAATTTCTGCTTCACTATATCTGAAAAATCGCTATATCCCTGTTTTCTACAAGTGAACCTTTTGTTATATGTATAATGTTACTGCTATAAAGTTATACAATATGTAATATTATTTCATTCACAACAACACGGTAAGATCCTCTATGTTAATAATTTGTCAGCTAAGATATCACATTTCCCAGTGGTCACTGTTTCAAAGCCTAGGATAGAAAACCATGTGGATGTTTTAACATATAAGGAGAAAAAAAATAGATCTATAGTTCAGCACAATAGTTTTCATATAGAGTCTGTTATTGTTTTTGTGTAGAAAATTACACAAAGAATGAATGGCCATTTATTTATATCCATCCCCAGTTTTCTATTTAAATTCCGTTTCTAACCATGCCTGTAATTGACATTGTAACTGTGCCTGAAATTCATATTTCCTTTAATAGTGGTAATGGCATCAACTTCTTTGTTGCATGAGCATGTTCTGTGTAAGTGCTGAAAGCGCTGTATATAAAGATAAAATTGTGAATAAAAAAGACATGTAGAATTTCCATAAAGAGGATTATTAAGTATCAGATAACTTCAAATGTTAAAGAAAGTTCCTAGAAGCATCAAAATAGCAAAAGTAGAATAATATACTTTAGCAGGGATGTACAGTATTAATTGTTCTTGTTCTCGTTGAATATGAACCTAAAATACTTTTTTCCAGAATACAGAGGCCGAGGTGGGCTGATCACGAGGTCAGGAGTTCAAGACCAGCCTGGCAAACATAGTGAAACCCCGTCTCTATTAAAAATAAAAAAAATTAGCTGGGTATGGTGGTGGGCGCCTGTAGTCCCAGCTACTCGGGAGGCTGAGGCAAGAGAATCGCTTGAATCTGGGAGGCAGAGGTTGTAGTGAGCTGAGATCGTGCCATTGCACTCCAGCCTGGGTGACAGTGTGAGACTCTGTCTCAAAAAACAAACAAACAAACAAATATTAAAACTACCTTTACCAAACAATTTACACAGATGATTTTTTTTGGTCCCCAGAGTAATTTTTACTAAATAGAGCAATTTTATTTATTTGAAAAAATAAACTAAAAAATGGGCATACATTTTGCCAAATCAATCATATTCTAAATTTTAATTTAAGTATAACATTCAAAGAACTTTTTGACTATTTGATGAACTTTGCTATTACTTGTTGAGTTTGCGCATGAATAAGAATCTCTAATACAGTCATGTATTGCTTAACAATGAGGATACATTTCTGAGAAATGTGTCCTTCGGTGATTTCGTGTGTACTTACACAAACCTAGATGGTATAAGCTACTGTACACCTAGCCTATTGCTCCTAGGTTACAAATTTGTACAGCATTTTACTCCATTGAATATTGGAGGCAATTATAACACAATGGTATTTATGTATCTAAACATAGAAAAGTCACAGTAAAAATATAGTATAAAAGATGTTTAAATGGTACACCTATATAGAGCACTTACCATGAATGGAGCTTGTAGGACTTGAGGTTGTTCTAAGTGAGTCAGTGGGTGAACGTAAAGACCTAGGAGATTACTGAAAACTACTGTACACTTTGTAGACACTTGTACACTTAGGCTATCCTGGATCTATAAAAAAGGATTTTTTTCTTCCATAATAAATTAACCTTTGTTTACTGTAACTTTTATACTTCATAAACTTTTAATTTTTTTAACTTTCTGACTGTTCTGTAATAACACTTAGCTTAAAACACAAACACATTCTGCAGTAATACAAAAAATTCTTTCTTTATATGTGTATTCTATAAACATTTTTCTATTTTTAATTTTTTTCATTTGATTATACTTGTTAAATTTTCTTGTTAAAATCTAAGACTCAAACACACATGTTAGCCTAGGGTTACACTGGGTCAAGATCATCAAATCACTGTCTTTCACTTTCACATCTTATCCCACTGTTGGTCTTCAGAGGCAATTATACACATGGAGGTATCATCTACTATGATAACAATGCCTTCTTCTGGAATATCTCCTGCAAGACCTGCCTGAGGCTGTTTTGCAGTTAACTTTTTAAAAAAATAAGTAGAAGGAAAACATTCTAAAATAACAATAAAATGTATAGTATAGTAAATACATAAACTAGTAACATAGTCCTTTATCACCATTATCAATTATTAGGTATTGTATGTAATTGAATGTGCTATACTTTTATATGGCTGGCAGTTCTGTAGGTTTGTTTATACCAGCATCGTCACAAATACGTGAGTAATGAATTGCACTATGACGTTATGACAGCTATAAAATCACTACGCGATAGGAATTTTCAGCTCCATTGTAATATTAAGGGACCCCTGTCATATATGTGGTCTGTCTTTTTGACTGAAATGTCATTATGCAGTACGTGGCTGTATTTGACATTATAATTCAACTAAGTCTTTCTAATCTCGATTTTTATATGAAACGTATGTGTGCTAGGCATCAACACCATTCCGAGGAAAGACAGGATATTAGTAAAACAGATGGAACACCTAACCTTAAAAGTCCTTATTGATGTATTTATTTCCTGCCATGCTCTACTACTAGGTCTCCTAAATAGCTTAACAACAGAATCTTAGAATATCTCTACATTAATTTAATGAAAAGCACTAAAGGTTTTAGAGACAAATGATACAGAAATAATACTTATTTCTTTAAGTACTAAGTAATTTAATTTGTTATTCAATGATACAAATTCAAATGAAATACATATTATTCATATATGTGTGTGAATATATGCATAAAGATTATAAATATTATAAGAATATTTTAGGAACTCAAAAATGAAGTCCAAAAAGATGAAAAGCAGTACTTATTATTGATAAGTAGCAATTATGCTGCTGAAACACTGAAATGAACATCCTGTATTTATTGCTTTTCTATCCTCTTACTAAATTTTGCCAATTAGATGTAGAAGGTCATAGGAAGATTCAAAGCACATTTATAAGGGTAATTGTACCAAGAGTAATCCAATTATGTTTAAATGCTTCTGTGATGTTATCATTCTTTATAAAAACCTCTGTTACACCAGCTTCATTTAAGAGACAGAGCAGATGCTGTTTTCCATTTACTTACTTCCCCTCATCCTACTAAGTCTGGAATGTGGTCCAGTCAGGATGTTATTCAGTACTAACTGTCTTGGTACCAATGTTCTTAAGCAAAACTCGTCGGTTATATATAGCTGTCCAGGATTAATGTATAAAGGATTAGAAAATGATGAGCTATTTCGAGAGTTTCCTAAATCATCAACATGAGTAATCTATGCCTGTATTATACAACTTCAGCTCTCCAAATATTCTTTTATGAGGAATAATATGCAGCAACTGGTACAATTTGTTAAGTTTATTGCAGAAAATGATGTCAGTCTAGACTTTTTTATTCCTTTTTGCTGAATGTCATGTGCTCTAAATTATCAAAAGGAGTAATAAGAAAGTGAATATCTAGCAAAATTGTCTCATTCTGTACTATTGAAATAATTCAATACTAAGATTACATTATTTTTTCTTCTACAATGATAAAAGTACAACTTAGATATTGCACTTTGCTAGTATTACTTCTCATAGTCAATCATAGGAAAATTTCTGCCATTTTTTTCTGCTGACACATGACAAAATATAAACATCCACTAAGAATAGGATGGTTGAACAATAGCAAAATAGATTATACTAACTTTTGTCTAAAATTATAGACTTCAAGTGATTTATACCATTATAACATTGCATGTATAAACTTAATTTTCAAGCAGTGTATTAAATTCTGTTTAATTATAATGTAAACAATGTAGATTAATGTAATATAAAGATACATAATTTTATTACCTATGAAACTGCTGGTGATATGACGTTGAAAAACACACCAAAACCCAGTTTCTCAAAAATCATAATTTTTGACATTCTTTCTCTTTAACTTTGGATTAATAACCACAGCTCTTACATGAACTGAATGAATATGTACTATTACTATGGAAAAGCAAAAGATACATATCCTGCAACATGTTGATGACATGACTTTATTGTTGTTGTCGTCTAGTAGCTGTACATTGTTGTTTGACGGGATAACTCAGGATCAACTATAAAACTCAAATCAGTTTTTGGTACATGTTCTCCAATGTCTAATTGGCTTATTTCCAACAACCGAATCCAGCATGCTAACATGTTTAGTTACCTCAGGGTATATTTTACAACTAATTTAGCTTTTACTGGTTCACTAGGAAGTCAAATTGCATAAAATGCTATGTTTTATAGGCCCTGGAGAATGATTGATAATATTTGCTATGAAAATGGTTGAGGCTACAATTATTGAGGCTATCCAGGATGATATAAATCTTCCAGGCCTCAATGATATATTTCTTTTTATGTTGGAGCAGACGTGAATTATTTGCCAAGGAAATATCAGGCCCTGAACACTTTCTCCTGCTATCTTCATTCAAAGATGATGTCGCCACTTCTTAAGACAAAATTTCTTGTTTTGAAAACTAATTTTCTTATCAAATATCAGCAATCTGTAGCTGATTTTTAAAGCATGTGTATCGGGGAATTGGCCCCGATATTCACGTAAGTTCTTTTCTATTTTCCTTAAGCGTTGGCCAGCTTGAGAAATAAAGGGACAGAGTACAAAAGAGAGAAATTTTAAAGCTGGGCATCCAGGGGAGACATCACATGTCAGTAGGTTCTGTGATGCCCCACAAGCCACAAAAACTAGCAAGTTTTTATTAGGGATTTTCAAAAGGGGAGGGAGTGTGCAAATAGGTGTGGGTCACAGACATCAAGTACTTTACAAGGTAATAGAATATCACAAGGCAAGTGGAGGCAGGGTGAGATCACAGGACCACAGGACGGATGCAAAATTAAAATTGCTAATGAAGTTTCGGGCACCATTGTCATTGATAACATCTTATCAGGAGACAGGGTTTTTGAGATCAACTGGTCTGACCAAAATTTATTAGGCGGGAATTTCCTCTTCCTAATAAGCCTGGGAGCCCTGTGGGAGACTGAGGTCTATTTCACCCCTGCAGTCTCTACCATAAGAGACGGCTATGCCCAGGGGGGCCATTCATAGGCCTACCCCCAGGCGCGCATTCTCTTTCTCAGAGATGTTTCTTGCTGAGAAAACGAATTCCGCGATATTTCTCCCATTTGCTTTTGAAAGAAGAGAAATATGGCTCTGTTCCACCCAGATCACCGGTGGTCAGAGTTTAAGGTTATCTCTCTTATTCCCTGAACAATTGCTGTTATCCTGTTCTTTTTTCAAGGTGCCCAGACTTCATATTACTCAAACACACATGCTGTACAATTTGTGCAGTTAATGCAATTATTACAGGGTCCTGAGGTGACATGCATCCTCCTCAGCTGACAGGATTAAGAGATTAAAGTAAAGACAGGCATAGGAAATCACAAGGGTATTGATTGGGGAAGTGATAAGTGTCCATGAAATCTTTACAATTTATGTTTAGAGATTGCAGTAAAGACAGGCATAAGAAATTATAAAAGGATTAATTTGGGGAACTAATAAATGTCCATGAAATCTTCACAATCCATGTTCTTCTGCCATGGCTTCAGCCAGTCCCTCTGTTTGGGGTCCCTGACTTCCTGCAACACATGTGGGCCTACCTTTAATCAACAAAATGACTATCAAGTCTTATAACATGATACTTTTTTTCCTCAATTTTAAGAAAAATAAAAATGAACAAACAAAAACTATGATTGCCATTAATGGTATTACTCTTAGAGGATGTGCTGAATCATATATCACCCTTGATGTTGAGAGCATTATTCTTGTAGCAAGCCAGACTGGGAACTGCATTTGGACTTCCATGTTTTACATCTTGAACAGTTGCTTTTATTGGAATTTTCTATGGCATCATATATTCAACTTGGATTGAGGAAGGCTGTAGAACCTATTATATTAAATTTGCCTTGATAATCATTATATGGATTTGTAAAGCATACTGCCTTCTACATCAGTAGTCCCCACCCTTTTTGGTATCAGGGACTGGTTGACAGGAAGATAATTTTTCCACAGATCTGGGGGAAGGGATGGGATGGTTTTGGGATGAAACTGTTCCACCTCAGATTATCAGGCATTAGGTAGATTCTCATAAGGAATGTACAACCCAGATGATACCTTGCAAGCGCAGCTCACAATAGGGTTCAGGTTTCTGAGAGAATCTAACACCGCCGCTGATCTGACAGGAGGTGGAGCTCAGGCAGTAATGCCAGTGGCTCACCTCTTGCTCACTCCCTGTTGTGTGGCCTGGTTCCTATTAGGCCACAGACTGGTACCAGTCTGCGGCCCAGTGGTTGGGGACCCCTGCCCTATAGCACAGTGTTCCCTTAAGGAGACATCAAGGAAAATCCTCTAGAATTTTAGTTTTGGAAAATCAGAAAAATTATGTCATTTTTATGATTACTTTGAATATTAAAATTGATTATATTTCTCTCTTTAGTTTCTGACAATCTTAGAGCTCAATTTTTACCTAGAACTAACAATATTTTCAGAGTTTTTTTGTTATATTTTCTGGGCACTAACTTTAACCATATTTCTCTTCAAATTAGTAATTGCATTTATTTATCATAGGATTCATTCTTACCAATAGCATTCTCTTATTTAAAGTAGCCAGTAAGATGCCAATAATTGAACATTAACCTAGAATTAGCAATTGCTAAAATTTATATATTTTTTTCTTGCTAACATTCAAATATTTTTTCTTTCAAAATGATCACTTTTTAACTTTTTAGTGTATATTTTTGTCAACTGCCATTTTTTAAAAATTAGGAAGTGAATACAAACTAAGGTTCCTCATTTATTCACTGAACAAAAATATGATGACACTTACTTTTTTCCAGGCACTGTGCTGAGTGTTGGGTTACAAAAGTGAGTAAGACACATTCATTGTCTCTGAGGAGTTCACAGTACAAATGAGTAGACAGACAAGTAAATGAATATTATCAATAACATATAGTAAACTAGACTACAGCAGAGTCAAGGACTGGGTACTAATGAATGATGGAGAGACATTTAATGCACTCCACCCCCAGCAGATTGGGTGGAGAAGGAATTTTCTGGAGATGGCAGTGTAGCTGAGTCTTCTAACCAGCATTTACATGATTTGGGTATGTTCTGCTCTTTTTTCAGGACACTTATGTAACTGCCCAATGGGTTCTCCTTGCTCTCTGCATAGACAGAGGCAATTTATCAAGACAGGGGAATTGCAATAGAGAAAGAGTTTAATTCACACAGAGCCGACTGTATGGGAGACCAGAGTTTTATTAGTACTCAAATCAGTCTCCCCGAGAATACAGGGATCAGAGTTTTTAAGGATAATTTGGTGGGTAGGGGGCCAGTGAGTTGGGAGTACTGATTGGCTGCCTCAGAGATAAAATCATAAGGAGCTGAAGCTGAGTCAGTTCCTGGGTGGGGGCCACAAGACAGATGAGCCAGTTTATTGATCTGGGTGGTGCCAGCTGATTCCTTGAATACAGATCTGCAAAATATCTCAAGCACTTACACAACAGGGATGTTTTTTCCCAGGAGCAATTTGGAGAGTTTCAGACTCTTGCAGCCAGAGGGTGCTTGGCTCCTAAACTGTAATTTCTAAACTTGTGGCTAATTTATTAGTCCTGTAAAGGCAGTCTAGTCCCCAGAAAGGAAGGGGGTTTGTTCTGGGAAAGGGCTGTTACCGTCTTTGTTTCAAAGTTAAACTATAAACTAAGTTCCTCCCAAAGTTAGTTCAGCTTATGCCCTGGAACGGACAAAATAGAATTCGTTAGGTCAGATATCTTTCACTGTAGTAATTTCCTCAGTTATGATTTTTGCCAAGGTAGTTTCACTTACTTATGTTAAAATTAATCGTAATTTAACTCTTATGAATTCTAATTGTTCTTCACCCTAACTACCCCGGGTACAGTTATATAGAAAAGACAAATCAGCCAGGCGCGGTGGCTCACGCCTGTAATCCCAGCACTTTGGGAGGCCGAGGCGGGTGGATCATGAGGTCAGGAGATCGAGACCATCCTGGCTAACAAGGTTAAACCCCGTCTCTACTAAAAAAATACAAAAAATTAGCCGGGCGCGGTGGTGGGCGCCTGTAGTCCCAGCTACTCGGGAGGCTGAGGCAGGAGAATGGCGTGAACCCGGGAGGCGGAGCTTGCAGTGAGCCGAGATCACGCCACTGCACTCCAGCCTGGGCGACAGAGCCAGACTCCGTCTCAAAAAAAAAAAAAAAAAAAAAAAAAGAAAAGACAAATCAAGTCAGAATCACACAGTCTGCATTTATTAGTTCAAGCATTTTTTCCCCATAATTTTATGTAACAATGGAAAATAGAAGATCACAGAAATTATTTACAATTTTGCTTCTAATTAATTATCCAGTGTAGGCTGGGCACAGTAGCTCACTCCTGTAATCTCAGCACTTTGGGAGGCCGAGATGGGAGAATCACGAGGTCAGGAGTTTGAGACCAGCCTGGCCAACATGGCAAAACTCCATCTCTACTAAAGATACACAAAATTAGCTGGGTGTGGTGGTGTGTGCCTATAATCCCACCTACTAGGGAGTCTGAGGCAAGAGAATCACTTGAACCTGGGAGGCGGAGGTTGCAGTGAACTGAGACCACGCCATTGCACTCCAGCCTGGGCGACAGGGCAAGACCCCGTCTCAAAAAAAAAAAAAAAAAAAAAAAAAAAAGAAATTATCCAGTGATCCAGTGCAGACACAAATGACATTAATTTACGTATTGTGATTACGGTAAATCAATCTATCAATTGCCAGCTAACTCACATTTAATACTTTCAGTTTATTCTTAAGCCAACATCTTTTGGGCAAAAGTTTGTTTGAGAAGCATTAGCTCACATTTGTTTATAATTGCTTTTTAGGATTAAAAAATAAACAACTTGATTTTTACAGATGCAGGCAGAATCCTCAAAAACGTGAGTCTGAAGAATTTTGATTTGACTTAATAGCCTGAGGGAAACATATAGGAATACCTTCTTTTATATGCATACAAAGGTCATTTCTTTCATTACTCAAATATTATAGTGTTTTTGCATTGTGTAATTGTAGCCTAGAGGGAAAATAATGAATAATTTATCAACACATGTACAACTTTATCTCTAAAATGTCTTTGTTATAATCATTCATTTTATTAATATTAAAATATCTATAAAGTAAATACTATTATAAAAGTATAACCACATTGAATTTTAATTCTGTATTTCCATCTGTATAATTATTTTATAGTAAGAACAGCCATAAAGCCTCAATACAGTATCATATTTGTATAATGCTTAATTTTTCAGTTTGTTTTAAAATATATAATTCTATTCTTCAGATCACAAAAACAGAGTAGCTTGGAACAAAATATTAAGAATGTGATTTATCAAATTAACCAGCATTTAACTACTTTGGTGTAGCTTGCATACAAGCTATGCAATTTTGACATACTATGTTTCAAATGCATGTAACTTCTAATGATTGCATTTATATAATTTTCCCAGTTTAAACTAAATGACAGGTTGCATACCAATTCTTCTTGGCAGAACATTTTATTTAACTTACTTTTTTGTATAATTTGCCTTTTTTTCTTTTGCAGTTTCTTATTGCTTCTACTTACAGTAATTGCCATTCTTCATTCTCTCACAGAAAATTTCCTGGACTTCCTATTACTTAAAATATAATTTTATAAGCAACAGTTATCAAAAGAGAAAAGCTCAGGTTTTAGCTCTGGTCATAAAACTTCCACCTGTTGGTTTTCTGCCACAATTGATTGTGTTTGTCATAATAAATTTGGTATTGCCACTGAATAAATGGTCATGAGAAGAATGAAATACCAGGTAAGTAGGATATGTTACAGGAAGCACATAATTTAAATCAACAGACATTTATTCAGCCCTTGCTGATGTCAAGATGTTTTGAGTACTGGATCCAAATGTAAGAATTGCCATCTCTCAATTCAGGTGAGATTTCCTCATGACAGTGCTTCTCAAAGTTTGGTCTGGGACCTGTAGCATCAACATTACTTGAGAAGTAGTTATATATGCAAAATCATGGAGTTAGGTTGGTAATCTGTGTTTCAACTGTCCCTCCAGGTGATTCTAATGCAGGCTACAGCTTAAGAACCACTGCTTAATGATATGCCCATTTAAACCATTTTCCTTTCATATAATGTGCTTATAATAAGTAAAATTATACATGTCTACTGACACACTGGGCTTCTTCATTACCTTTCTCCGATTAGATTGCCATTTCCATTGAACCAGGGATCTCCTCTTCTTGCTCATTGCTTATTTCCAGGTTTCTGCACAGTGTATGTCACCTGCTACTCAATGTTATTTTTGGTGAATGTCACCATGCTTTGGAACTTGACTCTAAAAGGTCAGAGCTTACACATATACACAAATAACTTGTGCAAAGTTTATACTAAATACTAAAATCAAATGTGAGGGAGAAATAGGTTTGATCTTCCAGCTTGTGCTTAGACATTTCTTAACAGTATTTGCCACATAATCTATTGAAAATCAATAGTAATGGTGCAATATTTATTACAAAGGCATTTTCTTAAATGTTTGCCATAATTAGGTCAATATTTATAGAGTACAGTTTCACTGTATATTATATATAGATATGTATTTTTACTTCTATAATTAACATATATAAAAATGTTTATATGCATATAATAGAATTTCAAAATCCTTTCACATCCATTTCACATCCATTTCATCCCATTTACAATATTTATAAAATATGAGTAGATAGTTAGTCAAAAAATAAGAAAGTTACCAACACGATAAGTGTGTTGTATGAAAATAATGTACTTTTAAAGTCTGTACCTTGCCTGAATTATAATGCTAACGCATGTGCTTTACTCTTTAACATAGTTAAAAATTCCATGTTGCTAACTTTGCAGAGACATTCTCCCTTGGTCTCTGGTCTGCTCTTTTTTTCTTTAGTTTGGTCTTTGATGACAGCATGCATAGAAGGCCTTTGGCAATTTCATGAATATATAAAACTAAGATGAATCATTTTAATTCTGTATTTACAGATTATCCAAATCATACTCCAAAAGTATTCATAATGTGTTTCAGTTACTGTCATCTTTGCCTTTAAAGCACTTACAGAAAAAAAAAATAATCAACACAAACTAAAGTGTAATTATTTATGACATGCAACATCAGGTCTACGCTTAACATTTGCAAGTTCAGGATGATAGCAGAAATGGTGGCTCATATTTCATATGTCTAACTATTTAAATATCACATAAAACTCAAAATAACAAAGAGCTAAATACTAACTTATCTCTTTTTTTTTCTTGAGACGGAGTCTCACTCTGTTGCCAAGCTGGAGTGCAGTGGCATAATCTTGGCTCACTGCAACCTCTGCCTCCTGGGTTCAAGCAATTCTCCTGCTTCAGCCTCCTGAGTAGCTGGGACTACAGGTGTGTGCCACCACAGCCAGCTAATTTTTTGTATTTTTAGTAGAGATGGGGTTTCACCATGTTAGCCAGGATGGTCTCAATCTCCTGACCTCGCGATCTGCCCGCCTCGGCCTCCCACAGTTCTGGGATTACAGGAGTGAGCCACCACGCCTGGCCAATACAGTCTAATCTTTTACTTTGAAAAAGCCACTTCTCATAATTACCTAGAAATAAAGAATTTAGTGCTTTAATGGGACTGCACAGTGTCCCATTGCTCATTCCTCCCTGGCTCAATCCCACACTGTGGGCTGAACACTGCAGCCTGGACTTCTAAATCTGTCTAGTTCCCACAGACAACCTCCCCCTGGCCAACACTTGGGGTTAGTAGTACCCACAACAATGGGGTAATCTATCCTAAAGAGGACACTTGCAGGCCGTGAAAACAGACTTGGAGTGATTCAAGTAGGGAATTCCAGGGAACTGGAACCAGTACCATGGTCTGGAAGGTGATGCATGGGTTTTGGCTACATATATCCCAGTGGATCCAGGAACAGCTCACCCCATGCACAGAAATACTGCTGGAAAGAGACTAGACTGTGGCCTTCTGAAATACATGGCAAGGCAGGCAGGATTTCCATTTGCCTCAATTCAAGCATAGAACTGTGTGGCATGTATGTCAGTGCAAGCATTTGAAGGTAATCCACTCAACTTATCTTCGTTCAATTCAGTGAACTTCCTCATGCTTTCACTCTTTTATGGAACAAATAGCTTTCATATTCTTCTCCAGAGCATTTTCCAAGGTGGATTTAGACCTGCCCTCTAATCACTTCTTATATCATTTTCGTTCATTTTTTGTTATTATAATGACATTATTATAAGAAAGAAGTTGTGTTGCCAGGGTAACAAGAGTGGAGAATGGGCATTGCTGCCTTTATAGAAAACTTAACTTTTCTTGAATAAACCTCCACTGTATATAACAGCCACTCAATTTTTTGTGAATAGTTTACAATTTCTGCCTCTTTCACTCTCTGTTTGATTCCCTCACCCGCAAAGTGTATCTGCCCTGTTGATTTTCTCTTAAACTTACTCTTTTCTTACCTGCTACTGAACATGAGCACTTTTCCCTTTATTTATAGATTTCCTCATCTATCTAATACTATGCATTCAATGTTATGCCAAATATTAGCACTGGCAGCTCATTGAGTCTTACTGAGTCAGAGAACCTTGTTCTTCTGGTAACTTTTCAAGTTTGCCTTGCCTTAGAGTATCTACAGCAACCTATGGGCTTAGATTATTTCTCTGTCATTATTACTGCCCTAGAGGACAGGACTGGGCTGCCCAAATGAGCAATAGGAGTAAAACCAATATTAATTCCTCTCAAAGTTATTTTCCACTTGCACATAACATTTTTCTGTGCCTTCTTCTCTAATTAATTTCTATTCAAAATAATTTCTTTGAAAGAAAGAGAAAATTTAGCCACCATAAACCAGTCACAAAAAGTGGGAGTGGAATCCCATCAGACTTACTAGTCTATATAGCAAATAAGCAGGCCAAAGATGAGGTTGTTTTGCATGCCTTTAGTGTTATTTTCATATCAAGAATTTGTTTCTATTGTTATTCATTTTATCTTTTAGTTGATGCTCTGGATAATAATGTTTATTGTGAATCAAAAAAAACCCCACCCTTAGGCATTTTCTTAGCTCATTTTCCCTTGGGATTTAGTCTTCACTAGGAAATAAATTCTCATCCTCTATCAGGCTGTGTTCTCTAAAAGTCCTCAGTAATATTGCATAAGCACAATTTTCATGGACCTGCAGTGACTAAATTGCAAACAGGTGTCTTTTTCTAATCAGCCTTATACCCTGCTGCTTTCCAAAAACGATTGTGGTTATTTCCCTCTCATTCTAGGGGGAAACAATTTCAAACCTTTCGACTAGTAATTTTTCTTTGATGCTGCAACTTTGCTTGTTTTGTCACTGAACAAAAATGAAACAGGTGCTGAATATAGAATCAGAATTGCTTAAAGAGACATTTACAAATAGGTGATGATGTTAGTGCAAAGCAGAAAACACAGAAGTACAACAAAATACTGGAAAAGAGGAAGAAGTTGAACATGTGAACAGTGAAGTAAGCAAACACATACCTGGGAAATAAAGAAAGCAAAAATAGTGGTGCAATGAATGTAGTGAATAAACACAAGTAGTAGATGCAATCAGAATCACATTTATGTCTTATCTTCCTGCACATTTAACTTTGTTAGCGGGGCACATTTTTCACCTGTAGCTGGGATAAAAATTTAGGCAGCCCATAGCTTTTTCTGCTTCCTCTTAGCTAATTCAAGCTGCTATCACCTTAAGTCACAAATCAGTCTTATTTCGGTGCAATGGATGCCCACGCCTGTATATTAAAAATCAAAGTATCCAATTTCAGGCAAAATGACAGGTACGCCTTTTTCTCCAGTCAGGCTCTGTTGTAGGTGGAAAGCCTAGATTCCTGTGGTTACGGATTATGCCAATCAAACTGTTTTCTGGGCTTGGCTAAAGGAGAAAGCTGACTGCCTGAGCGCAGGGCACTCTTATGGTTTCTTTGGGGATTCCCTTTAATCCTTCTACCCATAGTTGAGGGTCTCTTAATTTTTAGTGATGTACCCTCTTCCTCTTATAACTTATATGGGCCTGAGTTTGATCAGAGAAGCAAAACTGCTAAGGGAGATACAGAATAAGGATTCATCATAGGCATCTCACAATTAGAGGAGCTAGTAGAGCAGTCAGTTACTCTGCATCTGATGAGGAACCTGTAGATACTGTAGGTCAGCCAGACCGGCAGTCTAAAAGGAAACCTGGATACAGATGGAAGCAGAGACAAACTGGATTAGCATGGACAAAGTGGGACCTTCAGGACAAACTATGCCTGATATAGTCTGTACATGTGTCCCCACAGAAATCTCATGTTGAAATGTAATCCCCAGTGTTGGAGATGGGGCCTGTGGGAGGTGATTGCATCATGGGGGTGGCTTCTTTTGAATGGTTTAATACCATGCTCTTGGTGTTGTCCTCACCGTAGTGAGTGAGCTCTAGTGAAATTTGGTTGTTTAAAAGTGTATGGCACCTCCTGCCTCTCTCTCTCTTGCTCCTGCTTTCACCATGTAATATGCCTGCTCCCTTTTTGCCTTCTGCCATGATTAGAAGCTTCCTGAGGCCTCCCCAGAAGCAGATGCCACTGTGCTTCCTGTACAGCCTGTAGAACTGTGAGTCAATAAAACTCCTTTTCTTACAAATTACCCAGTCTCAGGTATTTCTCTATAGCAGTGTGAGAATGGCCTAATAAAATGACCCATGTCAGAGTCTCATTGCCTCCAACTTTGTTGCTGTTCACACCTGCAGTTGAAAAAATGGCACTCGGCTCATGAGCTGCACACATACACTTGACCAAGAACTTGGAGTAGCTAAAGAATATCTGAAGGGATGTGGCAGAGTTATGGGTTCAGATTTGGCATCATGCTAACTAGGTGAGCCAGAAAACCCGCAACTATGGCTGTAAAATGTCTGATCCTCTTTACTGACCTTCAGAGTTCAATGGTTAAGCTTTACTTTTCCCTTCCCGATGCCTTTCAGATTTCTCCTGTGGCCAACATAGCCTAATACTATACAGAGAAGGGAATTCTAGGAAACATACATCCAGTTTTACTAAGGTGATACAGTGGAGGGCCACCACATAGCTCAAAATTTATTTCTTCTGATGCAAATAGAAATCCCAGGAAAACTTCACCTTGTCTCTGAAGAGGCTTATTCAGATTCCAAATGGCAAACTTACTGGACAAAATCTTAGAGTCTCATGCTCTCTCTCTCTCTCCCCATTTTACTCCCTCTTTCTTCTTTCCTCATCCTTTTTCCCTTTATTTTCTCCCTCTCCGTTCCACTCTTACGCCCTGTGAGCACAACTCAAGTTATGGGAAAAACCCACATGTCCAACAAACTCTGGAAGGACTTGCCAAGCAACGTGGTCCCCTCTACTTTACTTCTGCCATCAGCCCTGGGTCATTGCATTCACCCTGCTTCAGAGAATAGATCCCAAACTCTGAAAGATCTCATTGAAGTCTTCCTCTTTAGACTGAGGGAAAGGGCGGGCAACTCTATTCCTGAGATTAGGGGTGGAGACTCATAGCATAGCCCAGCTCTCTCTAGACAAACCATATTTTCCCAAATTCTTATCCCTAAATACCCTCAAAGGGGGTGAGAGCTTTCAGAATCATGTAACCAATTTGTAACATTTCCTATGTAAATTTATATCCTTTTCTAGCACTGAGTTTTGAACTAGCCAGTCTTCTATACCTCAGCGCCTCAGTGATGGCATCCAATTGAACTTCCTTTTTATAGAAAAAAATGTACGTATGAATTATGTGTGTGTGTGTGTGTACCTAAAGGAACAACCAACAGCACACAGCTCAGGTTTATATTTTCTTATGCTAGAACTGAAGTTCTACTTATGTAACTTCAGAGACAATGTAGTATAATGGCTTATAGGCAACCTTAACTTTCCAGTAAGTGTATTGAGTCTACCAACCATTATTTATGTTTCAATCCTACAAGAGGTATGTTAATGATAATATTTTAACACTAATATTAGCTATCAATCCTCTCAGGACTCAAAACTATTGCGTGTATCCAGATTTCTGCGTTTTTCAATTTTTAAAGCAAATTTTTTTAGCAGCTCTGAAGTCTGCATCCTCTTTCATCAGTAGCATCATCATGCAGTTGTTCAATAAAACCAATAGCAAACACAATGTTGGCTTTAGAATCATAAAAAGAGCCTGCTGTCTCATCAGTATTGATGATTTGATAATTAAAATGAAACCTAGTTCTAAGCACATTCATTTTTGCCCCTGTGGAGAGAGCTGTGCTTTTTAACTCTTCAAACAATGTCTGTTTGTGTAACTGGTAACTATAAACAAGCCTGAAAAAATTAGCCATCAGAAGAGACATCAGACATACAGGGTGAAATACATGAAGCAATATAGTGAGGAGGCATCTAAACAGAGATCATTCAGAAGAAATGGGAGCAAAATAAAATATATTGGACTGTACTTTGTAATTTATTTTAATGTGTTATTACAGAATAAAAAATCAAAGTACAAGAGAATGCTTGTAAAACATAGAAAAGAAAAAATAAACATGATGCAATAACCCATTTTTCTAAACTCCAGGGAGAAGTCTCAACAAGAGTTAAATAACACTTGGCAATTTCCTTTTTCTTTTTAATAGAGAAGAAAAGGTCATGGGAATAAGCAGACAAGTAAAGCCAAGTGCTTTTTTCCTTTGAGAATGTTTTAGATAATTATTTCTCATATTTTGATTCATTAACACTTTATTTTATTTTATTTTTATTTTTGAGACAGAGTCTCGCTTTGTCGCCCAGGCTGGAGTGCAGTGGCGCGATCTCAGCTCACTGCAAGCTCCACCTCCCTGGCTCACGCCATTCTCCTGCCTCACGCCATTCTCCTGCCTCAGCCTCCCGAGTAGCTGGGACTACAGGCGCTCGCCACCACGCCCGGCTAATTTTTTGTATTTTTAGTAGAGGGGGTTTCACCATTTTAGCCGGGATGGTCTCGATTTCCTGACCTTGTGATCCGCCCACCTCGGCCTCCAAAAGTGCTGGGATTACAGGCGTGAGCCACTGCGCCCAGCCTCATTAACACTTTTTGCTTTAATGTATAGTTTTGGAATCTACTTAGGAAATTTTTAAATAATTCTGTTATTTTTTATGGCATGCTAAAATTGAATTTATTTATTATGATATTATTAACAATTGGCATGGAAAATTTATTTTAATACAATGGGCAATACTACTTATTAAATGTGAACAAATGGTAAACAAGGTATTTAATTACAGGATGCCTGGGTTTAAATTGCAGTTGGTCATATATTTCTATCTTAGGCTTTCAATGTTAGGCCAGTGACTTAGATGAGTATTTTAATATAGAAGAGTGAGTTCAAGTCAATAAATCTAAGACAAAGTCCAATAAAAAATCTGAATAATAATGAAAATATAAAAAGATGACCCATCTCATTATAGTAGTTTATAATCAGGGAAATGCAAATTAAAGTAAGACAATACTTCACGTACATCAAATTGAAAAAATTAAAAGGCTGACAATACCAAATGAGACTGTGCAAATCAGGTAACACATGTGTTACTGGTGAATGTCTAAACTGACAAAACTATGCAATATCCCGTACTACATAGCAATTCCACTGCTAGGTTTATCCTAAAGAGCTCTCAGGCATGTGCTCAAATAAAGAAATATATGAGTATTGATTGCAGTACTGTTTGTAATTATGAATACTTGGAAACAGTTTATATATCCATTGATAAGACAAAGGATAAATACACAGAGTGATATTAAGTCAATGTACTGTACTGGAGTTAAAATTAATCAGTTACAGCTACAGGTGAAAATAGTTTCATATATACAAAATTAAAACACCATCAAAATTATGTTATATATTATACATGAATGCACAAGTATTAACACATCCATCAAAATAATGTTAGCAAATTTATGAAAACTTATCTCTAAGGGAAGAGGTAAGGAATGTAGTTAGGGATCCAGAGGTAGTTTTACTTATGTATTTAGTTTTTACTTGGTTAAAAATACATGACACACATAATATATATAAATATAGTTTGACAGTTGTCATACAGATTTTCATTATCTTAAATTCTCCCTAGTTCTGTATGTTTACAATATTTTATACCAAAAGTCAATTTAAAACATAATGTATATACATTATAACATTAAAGAGAAGTAAATGTACCTTAATAATTAGATTACTGGAATTTGTGCATTTCACTTAAAGTATCTGTATAGTTATGTGTTTATGTGTGTGTGTTTATGAAAGTATGTATTTTATTTTTTAACTGACAAAAGAAGCTAGAGGGCTTCAACATGCTCTGTGCTTGTGTTTCTCTGCAAATAGTACATTGTTTTGGTGGATAGCTTTTATCACAAATAAATAAAATTCTACATTCAGTTGAATATTATCATCACCTTATTGTCTCTTTTAAAAGTTTTTCAAGTATATCCACATTTATCTGGACTGTATAAAAATTTTAATCTGATTAATGCAACTTATGAGACCTACTTGCAGAAGTATCTTTTTTTGTTTTTTTCTTTTAAAATTTTTCCCTTTATTTTTAGTTGACATGTAATAAGTGTACATATTTATGGAATATGAAGTCATATTTCAATACAAGTGTACAATGTGTAATGATCCAATCAGGGTAATTAGCATATCCATTACCTCAAACATCTATCATTTCTTTGTTTTGTGAACATTCAAAATCCTCTCTTCTAGCCTTTTGAGATTGTACAATAAGTTATAGTTACCCATATTCACTCCACAGTGCTGCAGAATACCAGAATTCATTCCTTCTATGTAGCTTTAATTTTGTATCCGTTAACCAACCTCTCCCAATCCTCTCCTCCCTCCGACCCTTCCCAACCTCTAATACCCACAATTCTAGTTTCTACTTCCATGAACTCAATTTTTTTTGGCTTCCACATATGAATAAGAATATGCTGTACTTATCTTACTGTGACAGACTTATTTAACTTAACATAAAGTCCTCTAGACTCATTCATTTTGCTGTGAATAACATTTTGCTGTGAATTCATTTTGTTCTTTTTATGGCTGAATAGTATTCCACTGTGTATATATGCCATATCTTCTCTATCCCTTCATCTCTTGATAGACATTTAGGTTGATTCCATATCTTAGGTGTTATGAAGAGTGCTACAATAAACATGGGAGTGCAAATATCCCTTTGATGTATTGATTTCTTTTCCTTTGGATAAATACCCAGTGGTGGGATTGTAGAATTGCATGGTAGTTCTATTTTTGATTTTTTGAGAAACCTCTACATTATTTTCCATAATGACTGTACTAACTTACATTTCCACCAACAGTATATAAACATTCTTTTATCTCTACACTATTGTGAACATTTGTTATTTTTTGTTTATTTTTTATAATAGTTATTTTAACCGGAGTGAAATTGTGGATTTGATTTGCATTTCCCTGATGATTAGTGATATTGAACATTTTGAAATACATTTGTTGGCCATTTGCATGTTTTGTTTTGAGAAATGTCTATAAAGACACTTTACCCCCAATTTAATTGAATTGTTATTATTTTTTGCTGTTGAGTTTGAGTTTCTTATATATTCTGGATATTAGTCCCTTGTCAAATAAGAGTTTACAAATATTTTCTCCCTTTATAAAGTTTTTCTCTTCGCTCTGTTGAACGTTTATTTTGCTGCATCCAAGCTCTTCAATTTAATACAGTCTCATTTGTCTATTTTTGTTTTTTGTTGGCTGTGCTTTTGTAGTCTTAACCATAAAATTTTTGCCTAGATGTATGTCTTGAAGCATTTTTCCTATATTTTCTTCTAGTAGTTTTAGAGTTTTTGGTCTTATGTTTAAGTCTTTAATTAATATTGAACTGATTTTTATATATGCTGACATATAGGGGTCTAGTTTCATTCCTCTGTATGTATATATCCAGTTTTCCCAGAATAATTTATTGAAGAGACTATCTTTTCCCTAAAGTATATTCTAGGCAACTTTGTCAAAAATCAGTTGGCTGTAAATGTGTGAAATTACTTCTAAGTTCTCTATTTTGTTCATTGGTCTATGCGTTTGTTTTTAAACCAATACCATGCTGTTTGGGTTCCTACAGCTGTGTAGTATATTTCGAAGTCAGGTCATGTCATGCCTTCAGCTTTGTTCTTTTTGCTTAACATTGCTTTGGCTATTTGGTTCTTTGTGGTTTGATACAAATTTTAGGATTTTTTCTATTTCTGTGAAGAATATCAATGGTGTTTTGATAAGGATTGCATTGACTCTGTAAATTGCTTTGGGTAGTATGATTACCTTAAGAATATTAATTCTTTAAACCCATGGGCATGAGATGTCTTTCTATTTGTTTGTGTCCTCATCAATTTCTTTTATTGATGCTTTGTTATTTTTCTTGAGACGTCATTCACCTCCTGGCTTAAATTTACTATTTTCTGTAGCTATTGTAAATGGAATTGCTTTCTTTATTTCTTTTTCAGCTAGTTCATTATTGGTATATAGAAACATGACTGATTTTTTTATATTGATTTTGGGTCTTGCAACTTTGAATTTGTTTTTCATTCTAAGATTTTTTTTTTTTTGGCAGAGCCTTGAGGTTTTCCTATATATAAGATCATGTTGGCTGTGAAAAGGGACAATTTGACTTCCTCCTTTCCAATTTGAATGCCTTTTATTTTCTCTTTTGACTAATTGCTCTGGCTAGGATCTCTAGTCAAATAGGAATGGTGAAAATAGGCTTCCCCATCTTGTTCCAATTCTTAAAGGCTTTCAGCTTTTTTCTATTCAGTATAATGTTAGCTGTGGGTTTGTCATATATGACCTTTATTGTGTTGAGGTACGTTCTTTTTATTCATAATTTGTTTAGAATTTTTAATCATGAAGGAATGTTGAATGTTATCAATTTATTTTTGTGGGTCTATTCATATGATCACATGGTTTTCATCCTTCATTCTGTAGATGTGATGTATCACATTTATTGTATCACTGCCCATGCTGCTGCAGAAGATCTCTCTGAACCTCTTCTTTTTCTGTGAGCTTCTGATTCATGAGTTGTTCTTTGTTCAAGTAAACTCTACTATATTTATTTTATCTAAAGTTTTTCTCTTCTTTTTTGTTATTTCTTGTAAAAATAACAAAAACAACAATAACAACAAAAAAACACGGTACATCTGCAGAACGGGCAGGCTTGTTACATAGGTATACGTGTGCCATGGTCGTTTGCTGCACCTATTGACCTGTCCTCTAAGTTCTCTCCCTTCACCCCCCAACCCCTCAACAGGCCCTAGTGTGTATTGTTCCTCTCTCTGTGTCCATGTGTTCTCAATAAAAGTTTTTTTTAACATGTTTTATGAATCACATATAGCCATAACCTGCAGAAAAACTGCTATAGCACAGCTGGCTAAAAAAATATCAGTTTGATAAAAACCCTGCTTAACTTCCAAATAATTTCCATGTTTTTTAAGGAAGTTAAAGAGGACTATTACTTATGTACCAAGAGTTGTGCTACATACTGATAAATTTTGTAAATATTTATATTGTTTAATCTGTACAGCAGCCTTATGGAGTACCTGTAGTGTTATTAAATGTGTCAGATGCTAAAGGAGACGTCTAGAATAGTAAAATGCCTTGCCTTACTCATGGACACATGGATAATAAGATTTTATGAGATTCCGAAACCTGTGTTCTTTCTACTACTTCACCACACTGCTTCTGGATCCATCTATCATTAACTTAACAAAGACATACATTTTTGTGTTAATGTATTATCTTTTTATTATAGTAAACTTAATACACTTAAAGAGGAAGGAGTTAATGTGAATGAAATCAATAGTCAAAACTAGCCCATGAGTTGAGGATGGAAATAACAACAGAAAATAAACTCAATTCTTGAGTGTTCAGACTTGTGATAGCGCAGACACACATTTTTTTTCCATTTAGACATGCAGGACCAGAACAGAAACGCATGCCTGTAATAAGTGAGACATTAGCAGCCTACAAACATTGATATTGTGAGAAAAGAGTGTCACAGCTCTTAATAACCTATAGGTGTATAATTTATATTTTTAGTTATTAATACAAAATTTAAAGGAGACTCAGAGCCTTTAAGAAAAGTCTACTTTCTTTGTTGTTTGGGGTATATTACATTTAAGAATATTTACATGAAAGTTTTAAAATGGTATAAAATTATATGGTGATGTTAGAAATATAAGCGTTCTGCAGTATTTCAAGCACACTTTCTATGATGTGCTCATACTCTTAAGTAACTGTAAAGCCCTTCTTTCCCCTGTCCACACAGGAGACACAGCACATTTTTAGAGGGCTTCAAATCGAAGAACTGACAGCTCTTGTGTCTGTTGGGTCCTGCAGTTAGCACACATGTCAAGACAGAGTTAGAACTGTAAGAAATTTATTGGAGGAAAACTGGTGAGAGATAAAGGTGAACAGTATTAGCAGCAGTAGGTGGTGAAATTCTCAGACAGTGCTACAGGTCTGACACCTGCGAAAGAAAAGGGTAATGACGGAAGTTTAGGTAGAAAAAGTCTCAGGCTACACCTCACTGCAGCTCTGAAAAAGTCCCAGCTAGCCTAAGCCGAAGCTCAAGCACAAAGATTGCTAGAACAGGAGTCTTGAATGAGGCCAAAATGGCCAGGCTTTGTATCTCTACCATGCCCAGCCATTGGCAAGGTCTGTCCACAAAGAATGGGAGGCACATTGCTTTGGGCAAATGCCATGTCACATCCTTCAGGCACTGGTACTGGAGAGTGTCAGCTAACTGAACTCCTCACAGCTGAAAATCTGACAATCTAGTTGTTTTGTGAGGGTAGATCTAAATGTGCCTCTGTGGCTCCCGCAGACTGCTACTCATTTAGCAACCACAGTCCTATTCTCTCGATTTTGAAATACTCTCCCTCTACTTGATCTTAAGAGGGTCTTCCTGTTCTTTCTGACTATACTTTCTCTCCAGTGTTTCACCATGGCTTATTTAAATCTGAAGCTACCACCCCTGTCTTGTAGCACCATGACAAGAATCAACACAACAGGACAACAATACAAGAATCTATCTGTGGATTCCCGTTGGTACGGAATCTACTGGAACCTGATGAGTTCAACTGTGATTTTGGCTTATAACTCAGGATTAATGATAACAGCTTTTTTTTCTTGTATTTAACACACATAATTTAAAACAATAAATATACATTGAATACCAATGCCAATCTGATGCTGATTACTTGGAAACTTAATACGTGAATCACCTCAATTTTTAAAGGATTTCTTGCTGAATATATATGTGTATATATAGCATATATATATAGGTATGTGGGTATATGTACTCTTTCGTTTCTTTTTCCTTCCTTTTCTCCTTTCTTTCCTTCCTTTCTTCTTTCCTTCCTTCCAAGACTGCATACTATTCCAACAGAGATGTTTACATGTTTATGAAAAGACATATACTAAGGTGAAATGCAAATCAAAACCACAATGAGGTATCACTTTATGCCCACTAAGATAGATCAACTGGAATGATTAAAATAAAAAATATAACAACAAGTGTTGGTGAAAGTGTGGAGAAATTGAAACTCATTCATTGTTTGTGAAAATGTAAAATGGTGCAGCTGTTTTGGAAAACATCTTGGCAGTTCCTCAGAATAGTAAATATTTTCACTCTCTTAAGATCAGGTAGTGGGAGAGGGTATTAAAACCAGGGGAATGACCCAGAAAATCTACTCCTAGGTATATACACAAAAGAATAAAAATATAGGCTTATACATAAACTTACACATATGTTCTTAGCAATATTATCCATAATATTCAAAAAGTAGAAATAGTCCAAATGTCTGTCACCTGAAGAATGAATAAACAAAATGTGCTATATCCTTGCAATGGAATATTATTCAGCCACAAAAAGGAATTAAGTGCTTATACATGCTACAACATAAATTAACCTTGAAATAATTATGCTAAATGAAAGAAAGATATCAACTCAAGAAGCCACATATTATATAGCTCAGTTTATATTGATTGCCCAGGATAACCATATCCATAGGTACAGAATATAGAATACTAGTTTTCAGGGAATGTAGGAAGGAGAGAGGACAGTAAATGACTGCTAATTGTCAAATAGTTTCTTTTAAGGTAATGACATTGTCTGGAATTAGATAGCGGTAATAGCTGCATAACTTTGTGAATATACCAAAAACATAAAACAAAGCACACCAAATTATGCACTTTAAAAGAATACATTTCACGCAAATTGTATCTCAATAAAACATACACACACACTACTAAATTAGAAGTTTTATTACTGTGAGACAGAAAATGTTAATGAAAACCCAGTTGTTATCCAAATATTTAGTTTTAATGCTGGCTATAGTAGTCTTCATGATTACCTTAAATTGTCATCTGCTTACATTCTTATGTAGTTCATTTCCACATAAGTTGTCCATAGGACCAAGAAAACACAGCAGAAATGATGGTTTGTGGTTTCCAAGATTACATTCTAAAGATACCATGGCTTCCATCATGGTCACTGTCTTTCTTTTTTTTTTATTTTTTTTATTTTATTTTATTATTATTATACTTCAAGTTTTAGGGTACATGTCCACAATGTGCAGGTTAGTTACATATGTATACATGTGCTATGTTGGTGTGCTGCACCCATTAACTCGTCATTTAGCATTAGGTATATCTCCTAATGCTATCCCTCCCCTCTCCCCCCACCCCACAACAGTCCCCAGAGTGTGATGTTCCCCTTCCTGTGTCCAGGTGTTCTCATTGTTCAATTCCCACCTATGAGTGAGAACATGTGGTGTTTCGTTTTTTGTCCTTGTGATAGTTTACTGAGAATGAAGATTTCCAATTTCATCCATGTCCCTACAAAGGATGTGAACTCATCATTTTTTAGGGCTGCATAGTATTCCATGGTGTATATGTGCCACGTTTTCTTAATCCAATCTATCATTGTTGGACATTTGGGTTGGTTCCAAGTCTCTGCTATTGTGAATAGTGCCACAATAAACATACGTGTGCATGTGTCTTTATAGCAGCATGATTTATAGTCCTTTGGGTATATACCCAGTAATAGGATGGCTGGGTCAAATGGTATTTCTAGTCCTAGATCTCTAAGGAATCGCCACACTGACTTCCACAATGGTTGAACTAGTTTACAGTCCCACCAACAGTGTAAAAGTGTTCCTATTTCTCCACATCCTCTCCAGCACCTGTTGTTTCCTGACTTTTGAATGATTGCCATTCTAACTGGTGTGAGGTGGTATGTCATTGTGGTTTTGATTTGCATTTCTCTGATGGCCAGTGATGATGAGCATTTTTTCATGTGTCTTTTGGCTGCATAAATGTCTTCTTTTGAGAAGTGTCTGTTTATATCCTTTGCCCACTTTTTGATGGGGCTGTTTGTTTTTTTCTTGTAAATTTGTTGGAGTTCATTGTAGATTCTGGATATTAGCCCTTTGTGAGATGAGTAGGTTGCGAAAATTTTCTCCCGTTTTGTAGGTTGCCTGTTCACTCTGATGGTAGTTTCTTTTGCTGTGCAGAAGCTCTTTAGTTTAATTATATCCCATTTGTCAATTTTGGCTTTTTTGCCATTGCTTTTGGTGTTTTAGACATCAAGTCCTTGCCCATGCCTATGTCCTGAGGTATTTGATGGGACGTTTCTCAAAATAATAAGAGCTATCTATGACAAACCCACAGCCAATATCATACTGAATGGGCAAAAACTGGAAGCATTCCCTTTGAAAACTGGCACAAGACAGGGATGCCCTCTCTCACCACTCCTATTCAACATAGTGTTGGAAGTTCTGGCCAGGGCAGTTAGGCAGGAGAAGGAAATAAAGGGTATTCAATTAGGAAAAGAGGAAGTCAAATTGTCCCTGTTTGCAGATGACATGATTGTATATCTAGAAAACCCCATTGTCTCAGCCCAAAATCTCCTTAAGCTGATAAGCAACTTCAGCAAAGTCTCAGGATACAAAATCAATGTACAAAAATCACAAGATTCTTATACACCAACAACAGACAAACAGAGAGCCAAATCATGAGTGAACTCCCATTCACAATTGCTTCAAAGAGAATAAAATACCTAGGAATCCAACTTACAAGGGATGTGAAGGACCTCTTCAAGGAGAACTACAAACCACTGCTCAAGGAAATAAAAGAGGATACAAACAAATGGAAGAACATTCCATGCTCATGGGTAGGAAGAATCAATATCATGAAAATGGCCATACTGTCCAAGGTAATTTATAGATTCAATGCCATCCCCATCAAGCTACCAATGCCTTTCTTCACAGAATTGGAAAAAACTACTTTAAAGTTCATATGGAACCAAAAAAGAGCCCGCATCACCAAGTCAATCCTAAGCCAAAGGAACAAAGCTGGAGGCCTCACGCTACCTGACTTCAAACTATACTACAAGGCTACAGTAACCAAAACAGCATGGTACTGGTACCAAAACAGAAATATAGATCAATGGAACAGAACGGAGCCCTCAGAAATAACGCCGCATATCTACAACTATCTGATCTTTGACAAACCTGAGAAAAACAAGCAATGGGGGAAGGATTCCCTATTTAATAAATAGTGCTGGGAAAACTGGCTAGCCATATGTAGAAAGCTGAAACTGGATCCCTTCCTTACACCTTATACAAAAATTAATTCAAGGTGGATTAAAGACTTAAACCTTAGACCTAAAACCATAAAAACCCTAGAATGGTCACTGTCTTTCAATCTCTCTATGGAAGCAAGCCATATGGTGCACAACTCTATGAACAGTCCACGTGGTGTGGACCTGACGTCTCCCCCCAACAGCCATGTGAGTAGACTGAGAAATGGATTCTCCAGCCCTACTCAAGCCTTTAGAGAAATGCAGCCTGGGCTAACAGATTGACTGACCTAAGAGAGACTTGGGGCCAGAACTACAGAGCTAAGCTGCTGCTAGATTCCTGACTCTTAGAAACTATGTGAGATACTTAATATGTTTTGTTTCAAGCTGCCTAATTTTAGTGTTATTAGTTATGCAGCAACAGATAATTTAGCGAAGTTGTAGACATCAAGGTGTTGAGTGATAAGAATGTAAAATAGCTGAATGCTTAATCACATTATGTATGTTTAAATGAGTGTTTTGGCATGTATAACTATGTATATACATATTTCGTTATAATATATACTATATGTTATATAGATATATAGCTTAGGTCCATATCCTGTCAGAAAGAGAGTTAAAAGAGATGAAAGGAAGTTGTAGGAGGAAAATGCACAAAGGAAACAAAACTGAGGTAAAGGAAACAAAATATTGTGTTAGTGTGATGTGTTCTTTGATTTAACAACAGAAAGAAAAGGATAATGAATAGTTTCTTAACAAAAGAATACAATAATGATGATGACACTAAGGACTACTCTTCATGAAAACCCCAGAGAATAATATACATTTTTCTGCCAATTGATTAAATGTATTAAATAAATTCAATAAAGTATAAGCTACCATAAATATCTAAACTGCTTGAAATATATTCTTAAAAACAGAATCAACGTTAGATAAAATTTTAATGTACTTTTTTATGGCTCCTACTTTGAGAGTTTTAGAATAGTGCTGAATAGAGGCTGTGTGGTGGAGCTGAAATAACTCACAATGCTAAGATCATTGATCTGTTAGGCTACAATACTCTGTGCCTTCATAAATGTTGGAAAATTTTCTTAAAATTCATATCTAGACTGGAATATAATTATGAACAAAGAAACATTCAAAACACCACTGTACAGAATGCAAAAACTGTTTTAAGTCAGTGTGAAGATGATGCTTTGCTCAGAAAAAAATATTATCATATTGTTATGTGCTTTGGAATGCACATATAATATAAAGCATCTGAAGTATCATTACATAACTAATGAAGTAATGGAGCTGTATAATAAATATGCATTAACTAATATATCTCACTGAAGTAGTTTCCTAATATATAACATTATGAGGAGAGGAGAGAAGAACAGGTAGCACATCTTTATTTCAAAGATGCTCCCAGTAGAGAAAACTTTTTTTTTTTTAGTTTTCTTCCAGTATATACTTGCAAAGTCTGTTCTTTCAATACCTTTCAGTGCTTCAAATAATCATTTGTGAGTTGACTTTGTTATTAATAACAAAAATAGTAGCTAAAAATTATGTAATTATTCTATAATTTTTGTTTTCATGTTAACATTGTTATTTAGGTTCTGTTAATGTTCCCATTTTAGAATTTTAGAAAATAGAAAGATTAAGTATTTGCCCACAGTAACACAGCTTTATTTAATGCTTCTATTCATTCATCTTTTTTTTAATCTTGCTGTAATGTCATCCAATACCACTCCACTGACTTTCCAACATATTCTGGTACTGCTTCAGTATTGACCTTTTAAGGACTAACAGGCAGGTCTTTCAGGTCTAGTATGTCTTTGTGTCTAAATTTATCAGATATTTGTAGCCACTTATGGATTACCAATCATCTTAGCAGAAAAAAAGAGAAAAAGTTCTTTATGTTTTGCTCTCTTGTGATTATGGGGGAAGAAAAAAATAAGACAAAAATTAGGCAAAGAAAAGAAAAATAATCCCAACCTTCATTAGAATTTACAATAAAAATGATTAAAAATTTCCCAAACATTTCTAAGAAATTTAAGTAAAATCAGTCTTTTCTTTGAAGTTCTCTTAACCCAAAATTGGATAGGAAAAAAATGAATATCTCTGTTCACTGATGAAAAGAAATCATGCAATCATATATTGTTAGAGTCATAAGAAGCCTCATTTTACACATGATGTCAAAGAGAGCTGAAAAGTCTGTGAGTTGCCCAGGGTCACATTGTTGGGACAAAGACATGCATTTCTTCTATCACCCATTTTTGTTTCCATTCACTACAATTTTTATGAATGTTTCTCTTCCAGGCTTCTTGTGCACTAGTGCTTTACCTAATATATTAAGTTTTACATTCTTATCCTCACCATTTTCTTTCTTGCATAAAATGATGAATGCTTAGCTATGAAGCATATATTTGAAAGAACATTTCAGGCTATATTAGATTTTTCTAGAGGTTCTAGATACTTCAGCAGAAGACATTAAGATGAGCTAGGGCAGTTCTACTATAGTACAGTCATATATTAATTGTTCATAAATTAATAAATGGAATTATTTAAATTAGTTCACATTTAAATTGATTTTGTCAGAAAAAATAAACACATTTACATGGTATATACATAGTATGCATATTCCTATATAGGCATATTCATACACATGCATACACATACACTAAACCTGTTGAATATCTGGGATCCATGAATTTCCTCAAAGTCTGTCTATGAGTCACAAGTCTCATTCTAGATATTTGTTGAATTATCTTTCTTTTTTATTGCTTATATGACCATTTTCCTGCTTAATAATGTATGTATGTCTCTGAAAGTTGATAAAAAGTAGTGCCATTGTTGCTCAAGTTTATTTATTGGTCTGATTGATAGTTGGTAGGAACCACTAAGAAGAAATGAAGAAAATTATTAATTTACATGAGGTTTAGGAATATATTAGGTACTTAATTTACCCATCCTTATTTTCCATTTTTATAGATGATTGACATTCAGCTAGATCCACCGTAATAGAAAAATAATTTTGAATTTGAGATGATTACTACTGTTTATAATTCTATTCTCAATGACTGAGTTGAATCTTAATTTTATGTCTTCACACTATTAACATTCATGTAAATTATGAACAGAAGTCTTCAGAAAAGCACTGACAAAGATCACTTTTTTGAAGATTAAAAAAAAAATGTTGGGCAAAGGAAAATGCTCTTGGGATGAGAATATTTGAGCCATTTTACCCTAAAGCAAATATTTAACTTTTGAAATAGAAATCTCCAAAACAAAAGTCTATCCTGGAATTGTTGACAAATCCTTAACTAGAATTTTTACTGGTTGCTACCATAATACTGTACATATTTCTTTGTGAAAGAATTGAAGTTGCTAATAATAAAGCTTAGCTTTATAATATTGAAATTGCCTCTCTCTTTTTTAAGATCCTGGGAGAAAAACAATTAGAGAAAGACAATTTAGCTAAATAGACTGCGAAACAACCCGGCTGAATCCAGGCTTCATTAATCTCCCTCTTTCTCCTCTCATATTTCCCACGAATGGCTTGATTATGTTTACCTGACATCCCCACACTTCCCTGCTGACTGTGTTTGCCTCAAAGCCAAGATAGACAATGTTTTCTACAAACATTTATACTTCCTTGCAGAAAGGCCAGCCTTTGTGAATATATAATTGAAGCTTCAGTATGCCTGTTCCTCTTTCCCAGAATGGAAAAGCACTTTCTGAACCTAGTCTTGAACAATAGATGTGAGCATAAGCAGGGTTGCTCTGGGGTGCAAATGCTTTATATTAGCTAAGCAAACACAAAGTCAGAGGTTAGCAATTCATGCCATGAATAAGAAGCATGCCCCCCAAAAGGTTGATCAAACGTTGAACTCCTTTAAACTTTCCGAAGTCAGGGCTTTAGAAATACGGCTGCCATGTTTTGATGCCCTTTACCCCCAAATCCAGCAGGATAATGGCCTCTAACTGTTGCACTGAAATAAAGTGCTTTTTCTAAGATGAAGCTCTTTGCAAGCACAGTCTGAGATGAGAGCTGTGGAGAAATAACAAGCAGCAGAGCTGATTTTCTGGAGCTCTCTTTATGGACTGAGCCATAAATTTATAACGATGTGAAGGCTTCAGAGATTTCCTAGTTGCCCTCATAAGAAATAGACATCATTCTATTTTCTGACAGTTCAGGTAGTAGAATTAGGCACATTTTCCCCACAGTCTCCAGGCTATGAATCTGAGTAACTAATCTACTGATAATTATATGTGATGCCTCAAATTAGAAACCAATATTGCATCTGTGAATTAATGGCATTTCATTATGTATTACTGTCTGCATTAATAAATAGTGACTAGACTAAGATTTTCTGTTCAGAGGTAACTCAGGAGAGTTCTGTTCAAGTCCAGTTTCAGTCAAGGGCAGTATAAAATGATGAATGGAGAAACCACAATAAACTGAGTATGTCTCAGAGGCAAAAACATCTAGAGCTTCCCATTGTATGTGAGTCAGATTCCTCTCAGGCTGGAGACAGCAGAGCATTGCCGAATGAAAAGTAAATGGGGATTAAAAATCCAGAGCGACTCTCAATTTACACAACAGATTAAACAATTATATTTATGAATTTTTAGTTAGGCTGGTCACAAACTGACCCAGCTCCTTGAGTAGAAGAAACTTGGTCTGGACTCATGAACCCTAAATCATTTAAACCCAAGCTTTGTTTACCAAGCGATAAAACTGAATCAAGAGCAGAAACTGAATTTAATAGGCACCCTGTGATTCTCCTCTCTCACTGGCAACTTCCTGCTTGCTACAGCTGATTAGGCAGCATTTATGCAGTGAATAAAAAGCTGTTTTCCCTACCTCTCCTCCTCTCTTCTCAAATTCAGTATTTCCAAACTCAGTCAGCAATTATCAATGAAAAGAAATGCTGTCGCCCTGTCTCTGCATTAGTGGAGCATGAAGACCAACTGGGGTCAGCTCAAAATGATTAACTCGCAGAGGCCTTCCTTCTTTTTGGCCTTTACCAAGGATTGGTTTTGGCCTGTCACTTTGAAGCAAAATTTCCATTTTAGGGGATGGAGGAGCTATGTATCAGCTAGTTATCCCTCTACCATCCTAACTTATTCTGCCCCACCTCTTATTATGTATAGTAATAGTCATAAATATTGTGTTTTCTTTTGGAACATACATCATGATTCCATGTACTGCTCTTTTGTCTGAACTTCATAATTGATTTCATAACTATACCTGCTTGAAATAGGTATATGTGTCACTCTTAGTTTACTCATACTAACATTTTTATTGCTGGATAATATGAATCCATAGCTTTCTCTTCTAAAAACCAATGTAACTTTTGAGACAATCTGAGTGTCCTTAATTATAATTTTGCCAATGCTGTTGTAAGCTGTGTTATTTCATTTAATCAAATTTAGAATGAAAAGGTAATCCTCTCTTTTCTTATTCTCTATCATATAAAAACTATAATTATTTAACTTCGAAGCATTTCTAAAATCTATTTTTAATCTATTTTTTGCATCATAATCTCTAACTGCCATGCAGTTTGTCTGTGCAAAGACCTATATGCTCACATTAGATTCATAGCTGTGAAGTCTCTAATCTTCAATTCATTTCTATTCATTCCAGTAAGAATCACTTTCATCAAGCATCAATTTCTCATTCAGAAGCCAACATATCCTTGTAATTGCATCTCAAATTAAATGTATAGTTAAGAGATCCATTTTTGACTGTTAATTACTAGTTTCAACCAAAGGAGAAAGGAAGAGAAGAATTAAATTTGTCCAGTATCTATTCTGTGTTATGCATTTTTTTTTCTTTTTCTTATTTTTTTTCTTTTATTATTATACTTTAAGTTTTAGGGTACATGTGCACATTGTGCAGGTTAGTTACATATGTATACATGTGCCACGCTGGTAAGCTGCACCCACTAACTCGTCATCTAGCATTAGGTATATCTCCCAATGCTATCCCTCCCCCATCCCCCCACCCCACAACAGTCCCCAGAGTGTGATGTTCCCCTTCCTGTGTCCATGTGATCTCATTGTTCAATTCCCACCTATGAGTGAGAATATGCGGTGTTTGGTTTTTTGTTCTTGCGATAGTTTACTGAGAATGATGATTTCCAACTTCATCCATGTCCCTACAAAAGATATGAACTCATCATTTTTTATGGCTGCATAGTATTCCATGGTGTATATGTGCCACAATTTCTTAATCCAGTCTATCATTGTTGGACATTTGGGTTGGTTCCAAGTCTTGCCATTGTGAATAGTGCTGCAATAAACATACGTGTGCATGTGTCTTTATAGCAGCATGATTTATAGTCCTTTGGGTATATACCCAGTAATGGGATGGCTGGGTCAAATGGTATTTCTAGTTCTAGATCCCTGAGGAATCGCCACACTGACTTCCACAATGGTTGAACTAGTTTACAGTCCCACCAACAGTGTAAAAGTGTTCCTATTTCTCCACATCCTCTCCAGCACCTGTTGTTTCCTGACTTTTGAATGATTGCCATTCTAACTGGTGTGAGATGGTATGCCATTGTGGTTTTGATTTGCATTTCTCTGATGGCCAGTGATGGTGAGCATTTTTTCATGTGTCTTTTGGCTGCATAAATGTCTTCTTTTGAGAAGTGTCTGTTCATATCCTTCGCCCACTTTTTGATGGGGTTGTTTGTTTTTTTCTTGTAAATTTGTTTGAGTTCATTGTAGATTCTGGATATTAGCCCTTTGTAAGATGAGTAGGTTGCAAAAATTTTCTCCCATTTTGTAGGTTGCCTGTTCACTCTGATGGCAGTTTCTTTTGCTGTACAGAAGCTCTTTAGTTTAATTACATCCCATTTGTCAATTTTGTCTTTTGTTGCCATTGCTTTTGGTGTTTTAGACATGAACTCCTTGCCCATGCCTATGTCCTGAATGGTACTGCCTAGGTTTTCTTCTAGGGTTTTTATGGTTTTAGGTCTAATGTTTAAATCTTTAATCCATCTTGAATTGATTTTTGTATAAGGTGTAAGGAAGGGATCCAGTTTCAGCTTTCTACATATGGCTAGCCAGTTTTCCCAGCACCATTTATTAAATAGGGAATCCTTCCCCCATTGCTTGTTTTTCTCAGGTTTCTCAAAGATCAGATAGTTGTAGATATGCGGCGTTATTTCTGAGGGCTCTGTTCTGTTCCATTGATCTATATCTCTGTTTTGGTACCAGTACCATGCTGTTTTGGTTACTGTAGCCTTGTAGTATAGTTTGAAGTCAGGTAGTGTGATGCCTCCAGCTTTGTTCTTTTGGCTTAAGATTGACTTGGCGATGCGGGCTCTTTTTTGGTTCCATATGAACTTTAAAGTAGTTTTTTCCAATTCTGTGAAGAAAGGCATTGGTAGCTTGATGAGGATGGCATTGAATCTATAAATTACCTTGGGCAGTATGGCCATTTTCACGATATTGATTCTTCCTACCCTTGAGCATGGAATGTTCTTCCATTTGTTTGTATCCTCTTTTATTTCCTTGAGCAGTGGTTTGTAGTTCTCCTTGAAGAGGTCCTTCACATCCCTTGTAAGTTGGATTCCTAGGTATTTTATTCTCTTTGAAGCAATTGTGAATGGGAGTTCACTCATGATTTGGCTCTCTGTTTGTCTGTTGTTGGTGTATAAGAATCTTGTGATTTTTGTACATTGATTTTGTATCCTGAGACTTTGCTGAAGTTGCTCATCAGCTTAAGGAGATTTTGGGCTGAGACAGTGGGGTTTTCTAGATATACAATCATGTCATCTGCAAACAGGGACAATTTGACTTCCTCTTTTCCTAATTGAATACCCTTTATTTCCTTCTCCTGCCTAATTGCCCTGGCCAGAACTTCCAACACTATGTTGAATAGGAGTGGTGAGAGAGGGCATCCCTGTCTTGTGCCAGTTTTCAAAGGGAATGCTTCCAGTTTTTGCCCATTCAGTATGATATTGGCTGTGGGTTTGTCATAGATAGCTCTTATTATTTTGAAATACATCCCATCAATACCTAATTCATTGAGAGTTTTTAGCATGAAGGGTTGTTGAATTTTGTCAAAGGCCTTTTCTGCATCTATTGAGATAATCATGTGGTTTTTGTCTTTGGTTCTGTTTATATGCTGGATTACATTTATTGATTTGCGTATGTTGAACCAGCCTTGCATCCCAGGGATGAAGCCCACTTGATCATGGTGGATAAGCTTTTTGATGTGCTGCTGGATTCGTTTTGCCAGTATTTTATTGAGGATTTTTGCATCAATGTTCATCAAGGATATTGGTCTAAAATTCTCTTTTTTGGTTGTGTCTCTGCCGGGCTTTGGTATCAGAATGATGCTGGCCTCATAAAATGAGTTAGGGAGGATTCCCTCTTTTTCTATTGATTGGAATAGTTTCAGAAGGAATGGTACCAGTTCCTCCTTGTACCTCTGGTAGAATTCGGCTGTGAATCCATCTGGTCCTGGACTCTTTTTGGTTGGTAAGCTATTGATTATTGCCACAATTTCAGAGCCTGTTATTGGTCTATTCAGAGATTCAACTTCTTCCTGGTTTAGTCTTGGGAGAGTGTATTTGTCGAGGAATTTATCCATTTCTTCTAGATTTTCTAGTTTATTTGCATAGAGGTGTTTGTAGTATTCTCTGATGGTAGTTTGTATTTCTGTGGGATTGGTGGTGATATCCCCTTTATCATTTTTTATTGCGTCTATTTGATTCTTCTCTCTTTTTTTCTTTATTAGTCTTGCTAGTGGTCTATCTATTTTGTTGATCCTTTCAAAAAACCAGCTCCTGGATTCATTAATTTTTTGAAGGGTTTTTTGTGTCTCTGTTTCCTTCAGTTCTGCTCTGATTTTAGTTATTTCTTGCCTTCTGCTAGCTTTTGAATGTGTTTGCTCTTGCTTTTCTAGTTCTTTTAATTGTGATGTTAGGGTGTCAATTTTGGATCTTTCCTGCTTTCTCTTGTGGGCATTTAGTGCTATAAATTTCCCTCCACACACTGCTTTGAATGCATCCCAGAGATTCTGGTGTGTTGTGTCTTTGTTCTCGTTGGTTTCAAAGAACATCTTTATTTCTGCCTTCATTTTGTTATGTACCCAGTAGTCATTCAGGAGCAGGTTGTTCAGTTTCCATGTAGTTGAGCGGTTTTGAGTGAGATTCTTAATCCTGAGTTCTAGTTTGATTGCACTGTGGTCTGAGAGATAGTTTGTTATAATCTCTGTTCTTTTACATTTGCTGAGGAGAGCTTTACTTCCAAGTATGTGGTCAATTTTGGAATAGGTGTGGTGTGGTGCTGAAAAAAATGTATATTCTGTTGATTTGGGGTGGAGAGTTCCGTAGATGTCTATTAGGTCCGCTTGGTGCAGAGCTGAGTTGAATTCCTGGGTATCCCTGTTGACTTTCTGTCTTGTTGATCGGTCTAATGTTGACAGTGGGGTGTTAAAGTCTCCCATTATTAATGTGTGGGAGTCTAAGTCTCTTTGTAGGTCACTCAGGACTTGCTTTATGAATCTGGGTGCTCCTGTATTGGGTGCATATATATTTAGGATAGTTAGCTCTTCTTGTTGAATTGATCCCTTTACCATTATGTAATGGCCTTCTTTGTCTCTTTTGATCTTTGTTGGTTTAAAGTCTGTTTTATCAGAGACTAGGATTGCAACCCCTGCCTTTTTTTGTTTTCCATTTGCTTGGTAGATCTTCCTCCATCCTTTTATTTTGAGCCTATGTGTGTCTCTGCACGCGAGATGGGTTTCCTGAATAAAGCACACTGATGGGTCTTGACTCTTTATCCAATTTGCCAGTCTGTGTCTTTTAATGGGAGCATTTAGTCCATTTATATTTAAAGTTAATATTGTTATGTGTGAATTTGATCCTGTCATTATGATGTTAGCTGGTTATTTTGCTAGTTAGTTGATGCAGTTTCTTCCTAGTCTCGATGGTCTTTACATTTTGGCATGATTTTGCAGCGGCTGGTACCGGTTGTTCCTTTCCATGTTTAGCGCTTCCTTCAGGAGCTCTTTTAGGGCAGGCCTGGTGGTGACAAAATCTCTCAGCATTTGCTTGCCTGTAAAGTATTTTATTTCTCCTTCACTTATGAAGCTTAGTTTGGCTGGATATGAAATTCTGGGTTGAAAATTCTTTTCTTTAAGAATGTTGAATATTGGCCCCCACTCTCTTCTGGCTTGTAGGGTTTCTGCCGAGAGATCCGCTGTTAGTCTGTTGGGCTTTCCTTTGAGGGTAACCCGACCTTTCTCTCTGGCTGCCCTTAACATTTTTTCCTTCATTTCAACTTTGGTGAATCTGACAATTATGTGTCTTGGAGTTGCTCTTCTCGAGGAGTATCTTTGTGGTGTTCTCTGTATTTCCTGAATCTGAACATTGGCCTGCCTTGCTAGATTGGGGAAGTTCTCCTGGATAATATCCTGCAGAGTGTTTTCCAACTTGGTTCCATTCTCCCTGTCACTTTCAGGTACACCAATGAGACGTAGATTTGGTCTTTTCACATAGTCCCATATTTCTTGGAGGCTTTGCTCATTTCTTTTTATTCTTTTTTCTCTAAACTTCCCTTCTCGCTTCATTTCATTCATTTCATCTTCCATCGCTGATACCCTTTCTTCCAGTTGATCACATCGGCTCCTGAGGCTTCTGCATTCTTCACGTAGTTCTCGAGCCTTGGTTTTCAGCTCCATCAGCTCCTTTAAGCACTTCTCTGTATTGGTTATTCTAGTTATACATTCTTCTAAATTTTTTTCAAGTTTTCAACTTCTTTGCCTTTGGTTTGAATGTCCTCCCATAGCTCAGAGCAATTTGATCGTCTGAAGCCTTCTTCTCTCAGCTCGTCAAAGTTGTTCTCCGTCCAGCTTTGTTCCATTGCTGATGAGGAACTGCGTTCCTTTGGAGGAGGAGAGGCGCTCTGCTTTTTAGAGTTTCCAGTTTTTCTGTTCTGTTTTTTCCCCATCTTTGTGGTTTTATCTACTTTTGGTCTTTGATGATGGTGATGTACAGATGAGTTTTTGGTGTGGATGTCCTTTCTGTTTGTTAGTTTTCCTTCTAACAGACAGGACCCTCAGCTGCAGGTCTGTTGGAGTACCCTGCCTTGTGAAGTGTCAGTGTGCCCCTGCTGGGGGGTGCCTCCCAGTTAGGCTGCTCGGGGGTCAGGGGTCAGGGACCCACTTGAGGAGGCAGTCTGCCGGTTCTCAGATCTCCAGCTGCGTACTGGGAGAACCACTGCTCTCTTCAAAGCTGTCAGACAGGGATATTTAAGTCTGCAGAGGTTACTGCTGTCTTTTTGTTTGTCTGTGCCCTGCCCCCAGAGGTGGAGCCTATAGAGGCAGGCAGGCCTCCTTGAGCTGTGATGGGCTCCACCCAGTTCGAGCTTCCTGGCTGCTTTGTTTACCTAAGCAAGCCTGGGCAATGGCGGGTGCCCCTCCCCCAGCCTCGCTGCCGCCTTGCAGTTTGATCTCAGACTGCTGTGCTAGCAATCAGTGAGACTCCGTGGGCATAGGACCCTCCGAGCCAGGTGTGGGATATAATCTCGTGGTGCGCCGTTTTTTAAGCCCGTTGGAAAAGCGCAGTATTTGGGTGGGAGTGACCCGATTTTCCAGGTGCCGTCCATCACCCCTTTCTTTGACTAGGAAAGGGAACTCCCTGACCCCTTGTGCTTCCCGAGTGAGGCAATGCCTCACCCTGCTTTGGCTTGCGCACGGTGCGGGCACCCACTGACCTGCGCCCACTGTCTGGCACTCCCTAGTGAGATGAACCCGGTACCTCAGATGGAAATGCAGAAATCACCCATCTTCTGCGTCGCTCACGCTGGGAGCTGTAGACCGGAGCTGTTGCTATTCGGCCATCTTGGCTCCTCCCCCGAATACTGTGTTATGCATTTTATATGCGTCATTCATTTTAGACTCAGGGCAAACCTAAGAATACGGAAGTATTATTTTATTTACACAATAGAAGATATTAAGACTTATAGATGTCAAGAAATGTGTCTAAATGGACAAGGGAATGTGGAAGTTAGGAAGAACAGATATGCCATCTTGCTCCTGCCAAGAAACAAAGGTACTATATTTACGAGTAACAGGGTAACTGTCATCTGCTTCTTTTATTCATTTGCACATGTGTAGTTTCTAATTTTTTTCAATATTTACACAGGAAATTTGCAAGTGCTTCAGATATAAAAGAACACAACAAAAGAAAATAGAAGGAAACACTGCCCAAATTAACTCATTTTCCAAAATATATGCTGTCCATGTATTTTGTTGAAAAATATATAACATAAATGGTAGCACATAGCAACATTTAACAACATGAAGAGACATGATTAAAAATTATTGAAATTGCAAACTCTACCATCATAGTCAGGCACATCCTCTGACAATCTTAATTTCTGAAAAAATATTTGTCAATTTGAATTAAACTGTACATTGCATGAAATCTGGATGTTTCCCTTTAAGTACTTATTAGGGCAATATGCAATAACGATGTGAAACAGTAAGCAACTCATAAAAATGCGAGGAAAACACTATTTTATGAAATAATATAAAGATAAAAACAGTGAAACATGATAAATTAGTTTCAGGTTAACAAAATTGTATGTTTCTTTTACTACTCTCCCCTCCAAAAATAAATAGGTTGAAGGGAAACATTACTTGCTGCTATGTTCAGAGCTCTTAGCTTTGGTTTAGAAGGCAATACAAGTTCTAACATAATCATTATTTAATTTGCATAAGAACCCTAAATATTATACCTTCTTAAGTATGAAAGATGTGATAGTGGAGAAAGATCCATAAAACATAACAAGTAATAATATGCCGAGTTTTGGAGATTGAAGTGACACATAAAATGGGCTTTGGTACTATCACTTGAAGATACATTTGTTTTGTATTAAGTTAGGTATGAATAGATTTGTCAGGTACTAACAGCAACCTCTGTATCTTTAGACAATAATTCCATTTTTTGTAGCTATGCCCAGGTTGTCCTTAGAGCCTCTGAGGTGTGCTCATTGATGCTATGCAATGACTTTGTTCAGGCAGTGGAATGTTGCTGCCATTAGAGAGTTCGTGAGTCCAGCAGGGTCAGACAAGTGCTGGGATTTACTTGCAAGGCTTTCCACTAAGTCATACCACTCAAGCAATAGCTTGTTTGGTTTGACAAGTGCAATAACTATCAAATAGTCTGCTTGCAATTTATGTTTTATTAGCCCTTGCTAAGAACTATGGTCTTCTGTGTATTTTGACTGATGTGTCTCTACTATACAATATGGCCCTGGTGGAGGGTACCAGAGGAGGAGAAACAACCTTGCCATTCACCATCAAATAATATAAAAGGTGATTTATTTGCCTTGAGGTAGAAAATAAAGATAAATATGCATTTTGTATTTAATAGTCTCCAAAGGAAGTTTAGTTACTGATTTAAGGAAAAAAAATATATGACACATATATAATTTGTAGAGAATGAAGTTTTATATAAGAGATTTTCTTGAAACCGGAAAGGAGCATAAAAGATAGAACAAGAGAAATTAAGTAAAATATTAAATCTTAGTTCATTAAATTAAAATATAATATTAGTAGAAAAGCCAATAATAATAATGTTGACAAATATTTATTGAGCATTTACCATGTGCCACCCAGTTCTGAACACTTTCCATGTTTCATCTCATTTATCTTTGAGACACCACATGAAATAGGTAATATTATTATCATTATTTATGAATGAGTAACTGAGGCTCAGAGAGGGTAAATAACTTGCCTGAGATAACAGTAAATTTCGGAACTGAAGGATGATGATATAATTATAACTAAATGGCTTTAAAAAACTATTGCCAGTATTCAAATATTTATTGAAAGCTAATTGTAATAATAGGAGTTAGCAAGTAGCAATTGCATAGTATTTTACATGGGTCACCTGGATTAATTCTGGTAACAGCTGTATGGAATAGAAATTTTTGTTTTATCACTTTATAGATGGGGAAATTAAGGCTTGAAGGAGTTAAATAACAACTTCAAAATCACTCAGGTAATGATACAGCTGGGTTTAAGCTATCTACTTTTACTCCATAAATATTTCTCTTAAACACTATTATATTCCATTGTATATCTTTCAATTTAATAAGTTAAATTATACACAATGCACAGATATACTATGCATACATACAAATGTGCATACACAAAATTACATGTTGTTTTGTCACAGAATAATAGAATAATAAGAGTAATGACATGTGTAGAAAACAGAAATACAATCGTCATAGGAGAAAAAAACTTTTGTGCACACTCTAATAGATTACTTGCCTTCTGCCGACTCCAGAGAAAGATTCCAAATTTAATGTTTCAATAAAAAGAACTGGCACAAGTTTCAGCCCATTGACCCATGCTGCATCAAGTTTTTTAGTGTGAAAAATAGAACATCAAAAATAGACTTCTATACGAAACACATTGTTCTATAATTTGCCCCTGGATAAACACACAAATGGGTTCTACCTAGTATAAACATATATCATTTAAATAATTCAGAGTAGCTAAGGGGATTGAAATGAATAAAAAGTAAGGTTGCTAGCCTTTCAAAATAGTTGCTAGAGCCTGACTGTTTTTTTTAAAGCCAGTATTGTTCATATTTATTTCTCCTTTCATCCTATGTAGTATTCAAGAACTTATAAAAGTGCATAATTTTTAGCCTTTTATTTATTTATACAAAGTAATTCTGGCATATATACCACCACTGGCTCTAACAAATATGACAATGCGGCAAATAAAAACATGCTTCATTTATTACACTGCAGAATGGTGCTGTTCAGGGTGCAACGATTTCTTGAAATGTATTTTTGATGATAAGTCACCTGGCTCTATTCAGAGATTGAAATAAAAGATGGAAATGTAGATGTAAGCTAGAAAATACTAATGACACTCTATGGTTTGTACTGGCCTCAGCTACTCTGTTGGCTCAGGGCTTGGGAGTCACATATGGAATATTACAATCTACCATAAAGGTTAGGTGTTTCTCAAATGGCAGCCCTCTCTCCGTGGAAGCCACAAAACAAACTGGCACATCTCTCAGGAAAGTAATTTTAATATTTTTAAAACTATATTTATATGCAAACAAATAAGATATGGTAAAGAGGAAAAAATATTGAGGTTCTTTTACAGAAAAGAGAACGCTTAACAGAAAGTTCACATATATGGAGAGCCTCTAGAGATTTCCATTCCTCAATCCCCCTTTGCTGCTAGAACTTTTTAAAAGGAAATGTTTGAAAACCCAGAAGGTACTATTGGTGGAATATGAGGTAGGGAGAAGTTATTTCATCATTGGTAATGACTTGGATGACAATCTTTATTTCCTTCCCTGGCAAATAAGTACTGCACAGTGGAATTAGGGCTCTGCCTTCGTGTTTTTATGACAAAATTCGTCTCCAACCAAGTGTAGTTTTCTGCACTAACCCTTGTCCACTCACTGACTAGTATGTAAGCTCTTATAAATGAGCTTAAAAAGATGACTTATGTATTTTAAGATTATAAATATACACACCTTGAATTAGAGTGATTATTTGAATGTTGTTCCCATTTGTCAAAAACAGATATGATCTGTTAGAAGCCTAGGGTATATAAATATATATAGAGAGTATTATATGTAATATATATAATAATAAATGAATTTACTTCAATTCCTTATGGAAAATGTTATTATAATTTTAAAAAATTTTTATTTTAGAGAAAGGTTCTCTATCACCCAGGCTAGAGTATGGTGGCACAATTATAACTCACTTCATCCTCAAAAGTGATCCTCCTACCTCAACCTCCTGAGTAGCTAAGATTATGGGCATGTATTAACATGCCCTGCTAACTTTAATTTTTGTTTTTTTTAAGAGATGGGGTCTTGCTATGTTGTCCAAGTTGGTCTTGAACTCCTGGCCTCAGGTGATCCTTCCACTTCAGCCTCCCAAAGTGCTGGGATTACAGGTGTGAGACACTGTACCTGGCCCTATAATAATTGTTATAAGTGTTGTAGTTCTCTTTTTCCCTCTTCCTCCCTATATAATGTCTTTTAAGAAGACTGCAGACGATGAACACCAAATTTGTTATTTTTAGTCAACCATCCATTCTCCCTGCCTTCAGATTCTGAGCAAATCATGCTGGATGCCTAATCAAAACTTCATAAAACATGTATTATTTTTATGAGCAGAGTGGGCCACTGCAATTAAAAAAAAGAAACAAGAAATTAGAGGTCAGAAACTTGGAAAGAGGGAAATAAAATTATCACAATTTACAGATGGTAAAACTGGGTACTAGAAACACAAGAAAAACAACAACAAAGTCTTTTCATACTACAAGAGAATGTGCTTAGGTAGCTGCTTATCAGATCATTTATTTTTTAAAGTGGTTTTCCCATAGTCTATGGAGGAAAACACCATGAAATATCAAATAACCCATCTACTAAAGCAATGAAAAAGAATATTAAGAAACAAATATGTAAGAAATAAGAAAAAATCTCTACAAAAAGTTATTAAACACCATCGTGGAACATTTTCAAAAAGATGAACAAATGGTAATACACATTCTATCATTAGCTAGGAAAACAATATTAATTCAGTGAAGTCTAATTTGAAAATATAACCACAGTACAATGCCAATATTGTTTTTACGCCTTACTAGAAATAGTCAAGCTAATTCTAAATTTATCCTAAAAATAAAATGAATAACATAATTGAACTTCTGAACATGCATAGCCTCATGAATCAATGGAAAACAGAGTCCAAAGATAGACAGATTTGCTATATCCCAAATTGGCACTTAGGTAAAAGGTAATTACAAAGTTACTTAGTAATCTAAGAACAATTAATTTAGTACGTATTAAAGACATGTATTTGACAAAAATGGGATTATAATATTTTTAAACAATAATTTTCTTTTGAAATAATTTTGACTGGTTCTTTTTTTGTCCAAAATAAAGTATGTTTTAGTATCTAATATGCACATAAAACAGTAAATCAAACACAAATACAATCTTAGCTACATAGAACTATTTCATTTTCTTCTTTTCTTACAGCCTCACAATTTATTTTAATCTCAATTTGCTCCCATTGAAGTATCACACACATACAGAGAAGTACACAGATTATAATTTGTACAGCTCAGTGATAACGCACTCACATAGTCACAATTCAGATGAAGATATAGAATCTTACCATCATCCCAGAAGTCTCCATTTCCTCCCCTCCCAGTTATTACCACGTCTCAAAGAGAGTGGTTACTTTGATTTCTCTCATCATAATTTTTTTTGCCTGTGATTGAGTTTTGTATAAATGACATAAAATGTTACAAATTATTTCGTGTCTTGCTTCTTTCACTCACTATTGTGTCTGTGAGATTTCCATGCTTCGTAGAGCCCCATAGAATTTACCATTCTATTGGTGAACATTTGCATTGTTTGAAGATTTTGGAAAAACTGCCATGAACAATCTTGGTCTACATTTAATAACTCATTAAGTATTTATAAGCTAAACTTTAGTAAATATTATAAAACTGTTTTCTAAATCAGTTGTACCAATCTATATTCTAACCAATAGTGAATGAACATTCTATTTGCTCCATATCTTCACCAACACTTAAAATCATCTTTTATTATTATTATTAATTATTGCCACTGCTGTGATGAAGTTTTGGCATTCATTTTAGGCTTTAGTTTTTATTTACCTCATAACTACTGATGTTGAAATCCTTTACATTGATTTATTGATCATTTGATTACTTTTTGTAAGGACCAGTTCAAACTTTATAGATGTTATAAAATTTGTGTTTTCTTTTTTACTTATTTAGGAATTCTTTGCTTATTCTATATATAAGTCCTTTGTTGAATATAAATATATCTTTTCTCACTCTGTAACTTGCATTTTCTCCCTCTTAATGGTTTCTTTTGATAAACCAAATTTCTAATTTTAATGGAGTTCAATTACCAATCTTTTTTACGGTTAGTACTTTCTGTAGCTAGTTTAAAAATTCTTTTTCTACCCCCAAAGTGATAGATATTATATTATTTCTAGAAGCATTATTTATTTAACAGTCAAATATATCTCAGTCTACCTGGAACTGGTTTTGTGTACAATGTGATGTAAATAGGTTTGTTTTCCTATGCAGATATACAATTACTCAGCATTTTCCCCTACTGTATTGCAGAGACATCTTTGTCTTACTCCAGTCAGTTTATGTGCTATTTATTACATCCTATTAGTCTATTTGCTTATCCTTGAGTTAATACACCTGTTTTAACAAGTGAGACTTTACTAGAAGCTTTGATGACAATTGGGAATTGTATCTTCCAACAATGTTCTTTTCCTAAAAATTGTCCTTATTCTTAGTTATCTCATTTCTATATGAGTTGAAATAGGCTCGTCAATTATACAGTGCTGATATTTTTATTGAGATTGCATTGAATCTATAGTATTATTTCAGAAGAAGTGATAAGTGTACAAAAGAGTCTTCTCCATTGATTAATCTTTCTTAATTTATCTAATTAATATTCTTTGTTGTAGAAGTCTTAAGCGAGTTTCTTAGTTTACTTTTTTGATCAATAATACCTCTTTTTAAATTATACTTTAAGTTTTAGGGTACATGTGCACAACGTGCAGGTTAGTTACATATGTATACATGTGCCATGTTGGTGTGCTGCACCCAATAACTCGATAATATCTTTTTAAAATTGTATTTCTTAGTTATTGTTTGTAAGAAAAAGACTTTTTTACATCAACATTTAATACATTGACCTTTCTAAAGTCATATATCGACTCTAATTGTCTAATATTCTTTTGAATTTCATATATACTAAAATTTTCTGTGAATAATTACAGTGTTATGTCTTCCTTTGCAATACCTATACCATTTATTTATTTTTCTTTCATCAATAAACTCTCTCCAAAAAAATATTGAATAGAAAGGATGTTAGAAATCTTCTCTATCTCATTCCTGGATTCACAGGGAAATTTTACAATATATCACCATTAAATAGGATGTTAGCTGTAAGATTTTGGTAGATACCCATATCATATTAAGTAAACTCTCTTCTATTTTTAGTCTGCTTGATATTTTTTAAAATTTTAAATAGCTGGTGAATTTTAACAATTTTTTTTGCATTTATTAGTATAATCATATGATGATTTTCCTTCCATACTATGTTAGTGTAGATAATTACATTGATAAATTTTTAAATGCTTATATAGTTTTGCTCTGTGTCCCCACCTAAATTTCATCTGGAATTGTAATCCCCATAATCCCTAAATGTCAGGGGAGAAATTTGGTTTGAAGTGATTGGATCATGAGAGCGGTTTCCCCCATGTTGTTGATAGTGAGTGAATTCTCACAAGATCTGATGGTTTTATAAATGGCAGTTTTTCCTGTAGTCACGCACTTCCTGCCACCCTGTGAAGAAGGTACTTCTTTCTCCTTCCCATTCCACCATGATTATAAGTTTTCTGAGGCCTCCCCGATATGCAGAACTGTGAGTCAGTTAAACCTCCTTTGTTTATAAATTACCAAATCTTGGGTATTTCCTTGCAGCAATGTGAAAACAAACTAATACAAATGCTGAACCTATTTTGAATTTGTAGATTAAGTCAAATTTGTAATGATATCTTTTTTAATATATGCCTGATATAAATTCTTATTTAAAAAATTTTTATCTCTTTGTTTTTGAGATTATCCTATTCCCTCTTTATTTCTGGAACTCCAATATACCTGAATATTAGACTTTATTCCATATACCTTATAGCTCTTATAACTTTTTCTGCATTTTCAATTATTTTTTCTTTGTGAACTTTAATTTGGTATTTTCTACTAAACTATCTTTTGCTTCCCTAATTCTTTTTTCTGCTCTGTTTAGTGTGCTATTAATATTCACTGACTTTTAATTTTATTAATTTATTTTTTCAGTTTTAGAGTATTTGTTTGATTATCTTTGGCGGATTTCAAATCTCTTTCTGTATTTTTGACTATATGAATTAACATTATTTTTAAATCTGTTTTCTTAATGATCTGTTTCCATTTTCTATTTTTTTCCCTAGATTTTCAATTGTTGCATTGTGCTATTTGATTACTATGATCTCAATGTTTGTGTTCTCCCAAAATTTCTGTTAACATTGAATCATCAATTTGATGTTGTTAGTAGGTGGGGTCATTAGGGGGTGATTAGGTCATGAGGGTGGAGCCCTCATGAATAAGATGAGTGCTCTTATAAAAGAGGCCCAAGGCAGCTGCTTTACACCTTCCACCATATAAAGACTCAGTGAGAAGACACCATTTATGAGAAATAGGACCACATCAGACACTGAATCTTCCAAGGCCTTAATCTTTATATCCCAGCATCCAGAAATGTGAGAAATATATTTCTGTTGCTTATAATCCACCCAATCTGTGGTATTTTTTTAATAGCAGCCCAAATAGAACTAGACATTGATAAAACTGATTTGTAATATTATTAAGAACCTTATAATATCAGTAGAGGCTCTTGTGTTATTAAGTTTTTCCTAAATAAATTTTTTTCTGGCCAGCTGTTAATAGCACCTTAAATTAATGTGGGATTGAGGTGAAATTTACTGATATACTTCATTTTCAAGCCTAGCCCAAAGTAGAAACATATAAAGATTTTCTTCTCCAACATGATTTTTCAAAGATATAGTTTTCATTTGTGCATAAAAATTTTGTCAGTATAGGACTTGGCAGAGACATATTCAACTGGTTCAAGTGAAGAAACAATTAGGTTAGTTTGAGTGACCATTTATCATTTTCAAATAATTTGACAAAATTTGGTTTAGTATTTCCACAAATATACCACTGAAATTCACCTTTCAGCTCCAAAGTTTTTCCCGAGAGCTCTCCCTCTGTTATGAATCCAGATTTGTTTATGTTTTAAAAGATTTATGTACTCTTTGTGCAAGTTTTTATATGTTTAAAAAATTTTCTCAAGTAAACTGATCATTTAATAAAGTAAATCATTTTGTGCCGTTATCCAGACACTTTACTTTTCATTTCCTCTTTAAGTATTTTTGACACCAGTATTTCTCTATGAATAAATAAGTGTTATATGACAGTTTCAAGATTTTATTTTATACAATAGACAAAACCTCTCATAGAGCCAACCACTCATGGGATAACATAGGTAAAGAAGCCAACACAATTTCTCCTGAACAGAATTTTCTAGATATGAAAACAAAACATTAAATACATCTTGGCGTTTTCTTGTTTTAGATAGTACTTTGCAGCAGAGCAACATTGTTCATGAATTTCACCAACATTTACACCTTTTACAAATGCTAGAGTTTGACATTTAATGTTAAAATGAGTTAACTCATCAATCTAAAAGGACAAACTGTTGTTCTTCCATTTGTTACCCTGAAATGTCTTCAAGCTTCAGGTGCCTTCAATATTTCAGTCTGTCATACTGTTAGACAGTGGGGTCTTCAATTTATCCAGTTACATCTTGACCTACCATTTTTCACTACAATTTTACAAGCTGGCATCATTATGTTCCCATCAACTATTTAACTTTTCCTTTTTTGGTCAATAATTGCTGCTACTAAATAACTTGGTTCTTGAGACTTTTTATTGAATGTGACTTTTTTTTTTTACAAAAACTTCATTGAATTTATTGATGATTCCAGTACCATTTATAGCAGCTCTACTTGCTGGGCAAGTGTAGTTTATTTAAGTGTATTTTCAAATTTGTTGCAAGTATTCCTTCATTTAGAAATTATTTGCAACAGGATATAACAGCTTGGATTATTAGTTCATGTAAAACTAATTAATAATTAACATTTATGTTAAAGACAAGTTTCATTGTTGTTGTTGCTGTAGTTTTTGTATTTTTCTTGGTTGCTGTGGTGCCAATTACTTTGAAATGACTGAATATCTTAATCCTGTATTACCAATCTTATCAAAATATCCATAGAAACATGTCTAAAATCATCCTCTTCCATCTCACACTTCAAGTTAAGGAAACACCATTATGGACGTGCAAAAATGTTTGTAAACAGAAATATGAATAACATAAAAATGAACAATAAATAATTTAAAAAGAAAATAACAAAAAACGTTAAAACTTAACAACTCTTCCAACCTACACTATTCATATTCTGCGGCACTTAACAATAATAGCAAAGTATCAGGAGGACTCCCGATTCATGGAGCATAAAAACTTTGTTTTCAGATGAAGCATTTTCAATGATACATGTGGGACTTGCTCCTGTAATTTAATAGGTGGTGCTTAAGAGAAGGCTTAAAGAGGTAAAAATACATAGAGGGTGACATTGTCAGCCTACTGTCCTCCTCTTTCTCAATAGAGCACTGATATGATTTGTCTGTGTCCCCACCCGAATCTGATATTGAATTGTATTTCCTATAATCCCTACGTGTTGTGGGACAGACCCCGTGGGAGGTAATTGAATCATGGAGGCGGTTACCTCCATGGTGTTCTAATAATAGTGAATAATCATGAGATCTGACGATTTTATAAAGGGCTTTTCCCCTTTTGCTTGGCAATTCTCCTTGCTGCTGCCATGTGAAGAAGGACGTGTTTGCTTCCTTTTCCCCCATGATTGTAAGTTTCCCGAGGACTCCCCAGCCATGCTGAACTGTGAGTCAATTAAACCTCTTCTCTTTATAAATTATACAGTCTCAGGGATTTCTTCATAGCAGCATGATAATGGACTAATACAACTACTCACTGATTTTTAATGTTCCCCCACCCCCTTACCTGACCCCAATTTGATGTCAAAACCTGAGAACATACACAAAAGGCTCAACCAAATCATTATGGTGTCCTACTGTGCACTGCTATATAGGACTGAAAGATGCTAATAGAATTGCTAGAGGTGTTGTCTATCACTCTGAACTCTATCACTGTGCACCACACAGTTCAAAATTATTTCCTTTTAGTCTTAAGATCTCTCAGAACACCTAATGGCATCTCAAGATGCCTAAAGATTCTGTGAAGTACTCGTTGAAAAACCCTGAATCTGGCCAGGCACAGTGGCTCACGCCTATAATCCCAGCACTTTGGGAGGACAAGGTGGGCGGATCACCTGAAGTTGGGAGTTCAAGACCAACCTGACCAACATGGAGAAACCCTGTCTCTACTAAAAATGCAAAAAATTAGCCGGGCGTGGTGGTGGGCGCCTGTAGTCCAAGCTACTTGGGTGGCTGAGGCAGGAGAATTGCTTGAACCTGGGAGGTGGACATTGCAGTGAGTCAATATCACGCCATTGCACTCCAGCCTGGGCAACAAGAGCGAAACTCCGTCTCAAAAAAAAAAAAAAAAAAAAGAAAAAAAGAAAAACCCTGAATCCATATCTAAACCATAGTAACCTTAACTGTTGTAACAGTGAAGTCATAGTCTTATATTACTGACACGCCTGTCTTAAAAAATGCAGGCAAATTGCCAGGGAAGAAATAAGCAGTCTTTTTTAGTATTGGTCTTGTAAAACCTAAGAATGGCAAATTTTTTATAAAGTGTGTGTGTGTGTGTGTGTGTGTGTGTAAAGACACATATTATAGAAATAAGGATGAATACTTTTTCATACATTTTTACATACATGATGTTGACTTACAAGCAGAACACTAAACCCTAGATAATACTTGATTTCTATTGCAATATACCAGAGGAAAATTACAAAATCTCTAGTAAACAGCTCATAGTGACAGTAATTTTCTTCAAGGCAAAAAGTATGTTTTCCCAAAGGGCATCTATGAGATCCTCAGAGGGCATAAGCAGATTAAAGAGGCCAGATAACTCTATTATTTTCTCCATCACTTTAAACCCATTTGAGAATCATTGTTTTGGCCCTACAACTTTTCATAGTTCTACATGCCCAACTTAGAAAATATGTACTGTTGTATGCACTATGTTGCCTTAATATTGTCAACAACTCAATTTTAGAATCTATTTTTGACTGATTATACTTATTAAGATTGACTTAATTGTGGTAACAAAAATAACTTGAAAAATGAGAAAGAAATAATTATACTTTTAGCTTTTTAAAGGTAAAGTTATTTTTGCCATTATGAGAGGTTTTCATTTTGAAAGAGTTATTATAAAAATATTAGTTCAAATCTTATTATACTGTCAGCATTTTTATTGATGTTCTCAACTTAGCGGGTAATACCTAGCTATACACACAAAATCTTCTGTACTTACATAGCAACTTTTACCTCTACTACCACCTGATAAGCAGCAAAAGGAGGATAAATGGCACTGATAAAGACAGAGGAAAAGGCAAACATATGAATCTTCCAGTTAGTTCTCTGTATGCCAACTTTCTCTGGAGAGGTAAAATTAGATTTAGTTGTTTCGTTGTTAAATGCATTAGTTTCTTTGTGTTACTTAACACAAACTGGGTGGCTTAAAACAACATAAATTTATTCTCTCAAAGTTCTGTAGGCTAAGAAGTCTGAAATCAAAATGTGGGCACCTCTGTATTCCCTGTAAAACCCCTGGTGGGAGAATCCTTTTCTAGCCTTTTCCAGCTTCCGGTGGCTCCAGGTGTTCCCTGGATTATGACCACATCACTCCAATCTCTGTATCCATAGTCATATGACCTCCTCCTCTTCTCTGTATTTGTTTCATTTTGTATTTCTCAGTCTAATCTCCCTCTATCTTATAAAGATACACATGATTGCATTTAGGGTCTGACTGCATAAACCAGGATAAGCTTCTCTTCTCAAGACCTGTAATTTAATCCCCACATGCAAACATCATTTACAAAATAAGGTAATAATCTTATTTTGGAGGACACCATCTAGACCATTACAATCTGCCCTCTGTTACTCAAAATTCACATCTGTTCCACATTCACAGTATATTCACCCCAACCCAACTTCCCCGAAATACTCAGCCTATTTAAAGCATTAATGCTAAATCCAAAATCTCATCTAAATATTATTAGTTCAAAGGTGCCAAATTTCATCATATAATTCATCTAAATCAGGTATGGATAGGACTTTGGATATGATCCATCCTCATGCAAAGTTTTTCTATTACATTTGTGGACCTATGAAGCCAGAAAAAATTATCTACTTCCAAAAGGCTTATTTATCTACTTCCAAATTGTCTACTTCCAAAATGGTACAACAGGATTACTATAACAGTCACAGCTATTTCCATTTTAAAAATAGAACATGGAATAATAAAGTGGTTATTGATCCCAAGCAAGTTCTAAATCCAACAGGGAAAATTTCATTAGGTTTCAAGGCCTAAGAATCATCCCCTATCACTTGAGGCTCTATTTCTAGGTCTCTGGCTCTGCCCTCTGTGCTCCTGGGTGTCCCAGCCTTTATCTCTTTAGCTACAGCTTCATTCTCTAGGCCCAAAGCTCTGCTGTTGGAGTAATTCTTCCTCTTTCTTGAAGGATAGCACATGTTTGCTGGTGAGAAGTTCCAACAGTTTTTTTTTCCCCTGCCTATAGAGTCCCCCAAGTCTCATAGTCTTCCTTCAATTTGCCCTATTTCTCTTTCATTCCAAACTATGTTCCTGATGATGTAACACTCTCAGAAACCTTACGGAACTCCTGTGAATGTCACAGGAATTCACACCATTAGTTAAGAAGGTCCTGCAGTTGTTCCTAGAAAAACTCACATTTAGTTCTCACTTCCACTGAAAAGATTAAATATACCCTTTATTCATATGCCTAATTTCTTCAGTAAAAAATTGCACAGCTACACCCTTAGCCGTGTCTCCCACAGCATGCTTTCCTAATAATTAATCTCCTAAATTTCTTATATTCATTGATATATAAATAGGATAACAATTTGCCAAGTCATTAAGTGCTAGTTCATGTTTGTTTAACAGTCCTGAGAAGTTTTCTCCCACACCAACCAAATCTCTTATTCTCCAACACCATCCGAATGTCCTACAATTCAATTTCATTCTGACACTAAATACCCGGATTTAGCATCAGACTCTACACATTTAAGTGCACAGTCCCATGAGACAGCCTTCACTTCAGACACCAGTCATAAGTATCAGCTCCCTATCCCCAGGTTAATATAAACTTCTGTCCTACTTGGCTACAAAGTTGGAAGTTCCCAAAACCCACCTGTCAGGGTAGATCATTTGCTAGGATTGCTCACAAAATTTAGAAAAATTCTATACTTTCCATTATAGTTTATTATAAAGGATACGAATGAACAGCTGGATGAAGAGATACATAGGATAAGATTTGGAAGGGTCCCAAGCTCACAATTCTCTTTTCTATGAAGTTGGGCTGTACCACCCTCTCAGCATGTGGATGTGTTCACCAGCTTAGAAGCTCCTAAACCCTTTTGATTAAAGGGTTTTTTTTTTCTTTTCTTGGTTTGGTTTTTTGTTTTTTATGGTTTCATTATACAGGCATAATTGTGGACATTAATAATTAACTCATTCTCCATCCCCTCCACCCTTTCCTGAAGGATGGGAGGAGGAGCTAAAAGTTCCAAGCTTCTAATTAAAGTTTGGTCTTTCTGGCAATCAGCTCCTATCCTGAAGCTCTCTAGGGACCTGCCAGTATTTGCCTTTTTAGAACAAAAGATGTTCTTATCACCTTTATCACTCAGCAAATTACAAGCCTCTTAGGAGCTTTGTACTAGGGATGAAAAACAAATATCTTTTTTATTATACCATAAATTCTTCCAAAACAGGATATTGGGTATAGAGAACCACCTATCTCCACTGTAAAAGTAAATCTTTCTGAGATTTACACATTGTCCAGATGCAAATGTTTCAATGTTGACAATGCAGAAAAAAGACAGAACTAAGTTGATTGTATTGAAATCTCCTGGAAAAGAGCCTCAAGTGTACCATCTGTATGTTAATACGTCATAAGGCACTGCATATTAAAATTATTTACTTCATAGTTTATAGTGCAGATTTCATATTATAATCATTTTATGTAATTGACAGAAATCTCAAAATCTCATCACAACATAATTTTTCTATTAAAATTCTACATTTTGCTACTATGTTATAGTTTAATAAATCAATGCAAAGCAATGGATTTTTATTAGAATCAATATAAGAAATGTAACTTTATCTGCTCTGACTATATTAATAAGTAATTAGTCACATTTTCTTGCTTCTTAGGACATCCCAATCCACCAAGTCAGTGTGATTCTCAAACTTTAGCATGCATCGTATTCATCTGGAAGTCTTGTGAAAACATTATGCTTAGCCCTAGAGTTTCTGATTTAATAAATCTGGGGTAAGTCATAATAGTAATAATTTGCATTTCTGACAAGTTCCAAAGTAATTCTTCTGGTACAGATTCTAGTCTAGAATCTACACTGAGGATAACTACACTAAGTAACCAGTAAGTACTATTAAAAATTTGGTCTATGGATCACCACAAGCAGAAACACTTGGAGCTTGTTAGAAATGAAAGTGTTGAGTCCCATCCTGGTCTTACCAAATAAGAATCTTTGGGCTTTAACAAGTTCTTCATCTGGTTCTTACATACTTTCAAGTTTGAGGAGCACTGACTTACTTTAGACTTATGTAACTAAGATTTAATATTTACACTAAGGCATCATCCCCACCCCCTCCCCTACCTTGTTATTACATACTGTGATTGGACACCAGAATAATACTTTCACCAGTTCAAATGTATATCAGATAATTAGAGTTGTTGCTATTTTTTAAATAGGTCTATCCAAATAGATAGGGATAGATAGATCTATTTCCTACAATCTTTACAACCTTAAAATGGCAGGGAAAAAAGCTCACAGATTTAGTACATGTTAAATTCCATAGCTACACTGTTCAATAGGGTAGCTACTGCCCACATATATTTACCCTTAAACTGAAATAAAATTAAATGAAAAACTCTGTTCCCTAGTCACAGGAGCCACATTTCAAAAGCTCTACACCAACATGTGGCTAGTGGCTACCATATGTGCATAATCACAGAAAGCTGCATGCACAGCGCTGTTCCCGAAGTGCACCAGGGGTACATATGTTCTTTCTTTTTCAATAGTTCAGGTCATTGCATTCAAAACATATTGACTCTGCTCCCATGGTAACTGCAAGGTATTTCTTGCAATTTTCCTTAGAAAATCTACTAATTATGTCAAAAGAAGTATTCAAATAACATTACAATTGTTTTTCTTTCTGAACATATATATAGTACATTCACAGTTTTGTGCTTGAATGTTATTAAAATGCAACTTGTAACATATCCACTGCTTTTTCCAAAGGGCTCAATCATTAGAGAGAGAATTTTTAACTAATTCCAACTTTCTGGTTTTTATCTACCCCATCCTCCTCTCAGTAGTGTTGTAATCAATAGAAACATGTCTAACTTACTTGAACTTTCCAAGTTTCTCTTCATTCTGCACTGTAATAATAAGCTTTGCTTCTCTGTGCTAGAGTCACTAGAGATGCAGGAGCATATCAAATGTTGCTTGTGTTAAAAATAACATTTTTTTTTTGAAACGGAGTTTTGCTCTTGTTTCCCAGGATGGAGTGCAATGGCGTAATCTCAGGTCACAGCAACCTCCGCCTCCTGGGTTCAAGTGATTCTCCTGCCTCAGCCTCCCGAGTAGCTGGAATTACAGGCATGCATCACCATGACTGGCTTATTTGTATTTTGAGTAAAGACAGGGTTTCTCCATGTTTGTCAGGCTATTCTCGAACTCCCGACCTCCAGTGATCTGCCTGCCTCCACCTCCAAAGTACTGTGATTACAGGCGTTGAGACACTGTACCCTACCCAAAATAATGTTTTACTTTGACAGAAAGAACCAGAATCCTAGGACTATGATATATGGGGGACATTGTGTAATGAGAATGTCCTTCTGCTTAAGTGCAGCCCAATAAGTACAACTATTTATAGAAATCCAAGAAGTATCTAGACTCTCCACAGTGTCAAAGTTCCTCCCTGGAGGCAAATTTATTATGCAGGGAAGATCATGATTCCTAAAATGTTGGAATACCACCACCATATTGGAATACCACCACCATGATCCATTATTCTCAGTATTAGAAACCACAAAATTTCTAAAAACCCAAAGTATCAATTTGGTAAGATTGTGGCAAATTCATTTGGTGGTAGAATTTACATTGAACCAATAGAGGAAGGGGTGTATTATTAGATTATATATACATATATATATACACACACACACACACACACACACACACACACACACACACAGTATGACTAATAAGACAATATGATATATGACATATATGATATATATGATAATTTATATCATATTGACTGTATATAAAATAAGACAATATAATTTTTTTCCACTGAGGCATCATCCCCGCCCCACACTCCCTACCTTGTTATTACATACTGTGACTGGACACCAGAATAATATTTTCATCAGTTCAAATGTATATCAGATAATTAGAGTTGTTGTTATTTTTTAAATGGTTCTATCCAAATGGATAGATCTATTTCCTACAATCTTCATAGATATATCATATTGTCTTATTAGTGATATAATTTTCCAAAGAAATGCCAATATGTTTGATTACGAGATGTTGCCTCAGACCCTGCTGAGAATAACATGGGCCAAGTTTTTCAATGCCATATTGCTTATTTGGGTCTCAAATAAACATATAATTTTTAGAAGGCAAAGATGGCAACATTCATTCATCCAAAAGGGTTAGTATATTATGATTGAGAAAAAAGTATTAAGCAAAGTAATATTTAATGTATTTGAGAAAGTGTCATGAGAGGAGCTCTAAAACTTGGTTTGGTCTTGGCTTTCCAAGTTTAATGACCATACTAAACTCTCAAAAGCCTAAATTCCTCAAGAAATGTAAATATTTTGTAACTTTGGTAGTTTTTGCAATCATCTCTTTCAGTGATTCTATTACCAGGTTATAAACGCTTCATCAGAGCAAATAGTAAGACCTGTTATTATGCCATAACTTGAAATATGATCCAAATTATATGCTGTGTTTTTTAAAAAGTAAAAAACAATAAAGGTATTGAATTTCTGACTTAAAAAGTTTGATTTATAATCCCTGGGGTTCTTTTTTTTGTCCATTTACAAGGGTAAGAAACAAATCTTATTGTCTAATACAGTACATGATAGTATCGTTCAGATAATTTTTTCAGGAAAGCACAAACAGGAATGAGGAAAACCTATTTTAAGATTAATAGTCCATCTTACTATAGGTCCAAAGATTATGCTGTCACAGAATATTTTTACTTCCTATCTCATTTATAAACATTCAAACCTGAATTTACAAAATAGTCTAGAGGCCTCTAACAGCTCCAGTGGGTCAAGAGTCATAACTGTAGAAGGTGGGAAACACACGACTTTCCAAGTGGTTGACATTTCAGATAATGGAAGTCATTCTTTCAAGTTATTCTCCCTTAGGATGAGAGATATTACACAAGTGGATGGGGGGAGAACTGATACTATGAAATCGTTTCTTCTGAAAGAGCACGCAATTTTTATTTTTGCGTGAATAAATAGCTCATTAAATTGAGTACCAATAATAAGTACTTTTTTTACTGATTTAATTAACATAAAATTTTACAAATATAATGAACAATATAAATGTATATTTTAGGGACAATATTGAAATTTATCCCATTAAAATATGAGGCTAACAATGGAAATGTAATTAATAACTTCTAGTAAACATGAAAAATACTTATTAAAATGAAGATGAATGAAATAGAAAATTGATATAAATATCAATTTTATGTAGATAATATGTAGATATATAGATAATAATATAGATTTATACATAAAATAATATGTAGATATATAAAGTTATTGTCCTGAGAATTCACTTTTCCCTAAAATAAATACATTCAATGTGTTTTAAATTCATCTAATTTTATAATTTGAACATAAAGAGACACTTAAATGTTAAAAAATAAACCACCAATAGTGACATTAATTACATAAAATGCTATTTTGTAAATTAAAAATTTCCTCTGAGATACTCAAAACATGTTACTGATATCATACGAATTAATTTTCTCTATACACTTTCTTAGTTTCATATTCTAGAGGATAAAATGGTGTTTTCAAGAGTAATTCAGAAGTCTTTTAAGGTAAAAGAAATTTCTTGCTGACATTAAGTAGTAAACATCACACATTTATTTTGAATAAATCTCCTAAACAGTATAAGATTTATTATAGGTTAAAAGACTACTTATTTATAATCTTTTATGTTTATAAAAACAATTTATGACCTATACTAAATGGAATTCAAAGAGAAAGCATTCATTAATGTTAGCTGCTCTTATTTTATTAAGAGTAAAAACAAGTTACTATCCTCTCACACTATATGACTCTAAATTCCACTTAACTTTTAGAAAGGATTCATGCTTTTGTTCTTCTAATTCAATGGCTTTATTTTACATATATAATGCATATATTCCAAAATGTTGCTTTCTAATTAATATCTAGAATAAATGTTTTGAACACAAAATGTCACACTGTCTTTATGTCAGTTAGTGCTCTATTTGCCATCATTATTGTAATTTCCACTTCTGGCTGGGTGTGGTGGCTCATGCCTATAATCCCAGCACTTTGGGAGGGCAAGGCAGGTGGATCATTTGAGCCCAGGAATTTGAGACCAGCCTGGGCAACATAATGAAACCCCATCTCTATTTAAAAAAATAAAACAAAAATTTTTAAAAGAAAAAAACAATTTCACTTATGAGTGCCTTAAGTGGATATAAATTATAGAAACACAATTTTTGGCTCAGTAAATGAAAAAATTAAAGATGCCTGCAAATTTCCCTGGTGTTCTCCTGAGGTAATAAAGTGCTCATCATCGTAAGCTTTAACCTGGAGTTAGACAGCAAACTACTGAAGAAGAAACATAAATTTGGAGCTGCAATTGATTTCAAGGAAGTAATTTTTAAACATCAGTCAGCCTGAAATTAAACTAGTTAAAAATAAAGTTCACAGTATGCTATCTCCTATAATTCTAATTCATAATGTTTAAAAAGAAACTTGCTATATGTAAGAGGCTCGAGAGAACCTGTTTGCTGCTTCTGCCATTTGAAGATGAAGCAAGAAGCCACCATATTTGAAGCAGACAGTGTCTCCTCACCAGACACTGAATCTGCTGGCCCCTTGATCTTGGACTTCCCATCTTCCAGATCAGTGCGCAATATACTTCTGTTGTTTATTTAAAAAATTAATTAATTAAAAAAATAAACTCACTATTTTTACAAAGTAATTTCGATTATGCTGATGCAGGTGGTCAAAGAACCACATTTTGCGATCTGCTACCTCAAAGATTATTTGGCTCAAATTTCAATTTGTGAAAGAGTAAATAGAGTACAATGGTTAAGTGAATTTGATGTAAACTACAGTTAATTAGTTTCTCACCTGGGACTTGAAGTAAGTCACTACCATAAATTACTCACTATTCTAATAAATTTAATAATAATACTTGTAAATATTAATAAATGAAATTATTAAACCAATTACATTCATATCAGCAAATTAACTTAATGTTGCAGATGGTATCACTTTGCTGAAATTAATACCCACAACATGGGTATCTTGTGGGAACTCTTTTGGTGCACAGTATTTGCATGTGCTGGTTTTACTACTAGTATTAATAACGTCTAGCCATTATTCAGTGCTTATGATGTTCCAGACACTGTTTAACCACATTTTAACTCATTTAGTATTCATAACAATTCTATGCAGAACGTATATATTTCCTCAATTTGTCATTGAGGAAGCTTACACAGGAAAAGGTGAAGTCACTTATCCAAACTCAAGTACAGAAGCCAAGCTCAATATTGTATTTTCTTAACCAATACTGCTCTAATGCCTCGGACACACTATTGTGTGTTGGGTTATAATTCAAACAACCCACTGCTATTATCCAGTTTAACTACTGAAAAACTGTTATTTATACGGAATGTCTTGACCACATTTCATCTTCGCTTGGTGTACATTTGCATGTTAATTGTACCTCAATCCTTGTCTTGATAGTACTGGAAACAAAGCACTGCCTATCATTATTGTGAGGTAAAATAAAAGCCTCAGTTTATTAACTAATTTCAGAAATCATAATCTTTTTTATGAAAATTGCTTGCAATTGTACATATAATTTTGGCATTCATAACTGACAACATAATTTGAGTTCAACAGTGGGTGCAGGAGAATTTCTGTCATTTTGAAACTTGTCTATATTAACCTAAGGCCAAACAGAAATCGTCTCCCCAACTTTAAAAATTAAACACTGGCACTTAGATAATCACTTATGATTAACACACTAATATAAATACAGGCATCGAAATCATAAAAAAGGCTCAGACACCTTGAATTTGTTTATCACGAACAATAAGACAATTTTTTAAATAGAAGATTTATCTCCAAGAAAACTAATTAAATATCACAAATACATACTCTCTCCCTCTCTCACTCTCTCTCCATATATATATAGATATATATGTTCCATATATATGATACGTGTCATATATATGAATATGATATATATCATATATATCCAATATATCATATATATGATATATATGTCCATATATATATCTCATATATATATATGAGGGGAAGGTGGATATATATATCCACATATATATATATATATATGTGAGAGGGCTGAATAAAAAGATTACATGGTCCTCTCATATTTAGAAAATATACAAATGTACAGCTGATATATGACTGCACACTTCAAGTCTTTTTTGGATCAAATGGGCTTATACATTTTTACAACTGAAAAAAAAACTCATACTGTCTTGTTGCGTTTTTTTTAAGAGAATGTAAAGCATAAAGTCTGATGCAATATACAGCTCCCAAGATGTTTGTTAGAAGATTACACTGGATTTATGCTTCAATGCAATACTTCTTTGGAAAATTTGTGTCAGCAGTTTGCCCTTTAAAGCCCTTTTAAATTTCTTAGCAGTCTTTTCCCTTGCTGAAGATAGTCCTTGTATTAGTCCATTTTCACACAGCTATAAAGACCTACTTGAGACTGGGTAATTTATGAAGAAAAGAGGTTTAATTGAATCACAGTTCTGCATGACTGGGGAGGCCTCAAGAAACTTACAATCATGGTAGAAGGCAAAGAGGAAGCAAGGCATGTCTTTCCAAGGTGGCAGGAGAGAAACAGGGTAGGGGGTTGGAGGTGGCGGGGGAGCACCATTTATCAAACAACCAGATCTCGTGAGAACTCTATCTGGAGAACAGCAAGGGGCAAGTCCACCCCCAAGACTCAATCACCTCCCACCAGGACACTCCCACAACCAGTGGAGATTATAATTCGTAGTGAGATTTGTATGGGCACACAGAGCCAAGCCATATCAGTCCTCTTCCAGTTCTCTCCTGTGCTCCAGGGCTTTTCTGAACTCTCATATTGTTGTTCTGCCTAGGGCAGAACCCCTAAATTCTAGGGTTGTGCTTTAGATTATATTGTTTATCACTAACGATAGCTCAATGACTCTAAATAAATTATGAAGAATATTCCAGTCTTTAACAGGAGGCTACTACTGTTAAAGTTTTTGCTCAAATAATTAAATACCTTACTTTAGAATTTTAAACACATGTGGTGATAAGGTAGGATTGTTTAAGGCATACATTCTAGAATATATATGCTGTCCCCAAATCTTTATTCTAATATCAGGTAGGTTAAATATCTACTCTATCTGCATGTGGGACTAACTGTGCATTCACCTGAACTGCAGTAGCTTTTAAGTAAAGGGTATATTTCATCAGCCTATGTGCATAAGTTATGAATTAGAAAAGGAAAAAGTATTATATCTACTCATAATATTAGTTGAAAAGAACACCTCATCTATAAATATATAGAAAGCAGGGTGGACTAGTATTTTCTAATAAGGCCATTTGTGTACCACATTTTATTCTAGGAATAAGAATAAATGCTATCGGTATTCTGGAGCCAGCTTTCAAACAGAATCACAAAGCTTTGTTAGCTGAATACTGCTGAGAAGGCAAGTATGAAATACACTATGCAAGTATAAAGGCGACTTGTCACTCTTCCAAATAATTTTTAAAAGGCATGTCTGTATGCTGTTTAGAGACTAATGAAAAATAAATATACAAGCTACTACATACCTAGCTTTTTAATATTTTTCAAAATCTTGTGTACTTAACAAACTTTTATATTCAAAATAGAGATATGTCATGGGGATATAATTTAATTAGGAGTAAAATGTGGGCACATAAAAATAACACAAGTAGAGCTTAAAAACTGAAACTAAACCAGTTTAAACAACTAGTTATCAGGTTTTACATCATTGAAGTAATTATTTGTGTATTTCCCATTTAAATTTTACAATATTTATACTTGATATCTTCACTAATTTGTGTTTATTAACTTGCTTTTCAGACAAATAAGTTTGAATATCTCTGTCTATTAAAACTAACCTCGCTGTACTTGATGTCAGTACTTATTTCTAATTTTAAAAAGGTTTTTATTCCATGCTCTTTTAAAGCTTTTATGCCATCTTCAAATTTGACAAGAAAGGCATTTGTGTCTACATTAAGCATTCAGTTAATGTCTCAAATATACCTGAAAATCAGTATTTTCAAACCAAATTCATGAGCTTTCTTCAAACCTGGTCCCCTGCTGCAGTGAGTGTTTGAACTTTTGTCTTGCTATCCAAATCAGAAATGTAAGAGTCATCATGTATGTTTTTTTTTTCCACTTGCCCCGGCTTAACAAATCTCTCACCAGTTCCTCCTAAACATGTCTTAAAGAAGTTGACTTTCCTTCCTTCCGACTGCCAGCACTTACAGTCCAAATTACTCTAGTCTGGGCAAATACTCTAGTTTTCTAACAGGTACCCTTCCTTCATGACACTCTCCAATCAATTATCTAAACTACAGCTGGGGTGATCTTGTGAAATGTAAATCCAATCACATAATTCCCTGCTTGAAATACTTACGCAAGCTAAAAATTAAACCCAAGGGTTCCTGTCACAACCATTTTCTCCTTCGTTGTCTTAACATTTTTGTGTGTGCGGGGGAGTGGGGTGCTGGGGATGGTGCTCACTGTGATTAGACCACTCTGGGTTTCTGGATTTCCTATGCCTGTGAAACACATCATACTCCCTTATTCTTCCTGGAATCATCTTTTCATCTCCAACCTTCCCCATCTTTTAACTCCCCCAGCCGACTTAATTTCTATTATTCTTTCATATTCTAGCTTCATCAACACTTGCTTTCTGATATCCTTCCTTGATTTCCCAAATGAAGTTAACGACCAATACCTTCTGGCACTGTGTGTCTCTCTTCTTCATTGAAATTTCTACAGTAACAATTTCTTATTTATTTAGTGTGGCTTATTGATTAATTTCTGATTTTTTTTCATCTGATGATAAGGTTCATGAACTGATTATTCCATGATTATATTCGCTGGACTTAATAGCAGTACATTTAATAACATTTGTTATTTGTAGATTGCTGGATAGACAGCATTAAATTCTAAGTACTGGGGTACAGCATTAAAAAGTATCATCAATAGAAATTCTACCCAGTATTTCCTAAACTTCGAAATTACCTATTATTAGATCTTTGGACTCCTAATAAACAGTTATCTGAGCAATTCATTCAGGGCTTTTCAAACACTACTTTCTCTAAATGTTATTTGTGCACATACTTAAAAGATCCCACTAGATGGTAAGCTCCTAGAGGAGAGAGATTGTTAGAGATCTTTATCTCTGCTTCCCTCTCAGCTGAGTATTTAACATACAATATTTTGAACATAATGCATACATAAATACATACACATGCACAAACACTAACTTACTAAATAAATAAAAACCATTGGTTGTTTTATGCATATCAAAGCTCTTCTATCAATTTCAAATTTCTCTGTATAACTTTTAGTAACACAGTTGAATCCAGCATATACCCCCTCTTCTATCTCACTCCCTTCACCCCCATCTGTTGCCCATATCAGTGCAGGCCTCATCCATTTGTGCATTCATGGAGATAAGTTGTTGTGCTTCAGTGACATGAGTAATTAGTGCACATTTTTAATTCAGTCTCCAAATGGGTTCATTTGTCTAAGTTTCTCAAAAAGGAAATACTTTTAATTGGTGTTTTCTAAGCATTTCAAATATAAAGTTAAATATATTTAACAATGTTACTCCTGACAATAAGTTCATTGTATGTGAAATAGAGTAAGAAGTGGCAGCAATGATGAATCAAATAATAAGATTAAGAAAGACTGGTAAAAACATGGACTTTTATGTACTGTACTAGTAGTTTAGAAGTTAGTATTAAATTGGCTTTCAGAATACTGCTATTGAAGGTTTTTGTAAGTCATTCGTTTTTACATGTTTCAATTTGAGTTGGACTCTTACATTAAAGCAAAAATCAAATCATTTTTATATCCTGTGCCTCTAGATAAAGTCTTATACTAATAAAAAGAAATGGTGCTACAAGACCTTTATTTTTATGTCCAATCTTGTCCATCTTGTTGCTGGACATTTATAAATCAGCATAGGTCTCTTCAGATGACCTTTAGTGGCACTCTTTTAGCTGGTCTCCTCCTGTTATTTTTGCTTCTTCTTTCAGCGAACTGAAGTCAACATAATTCCTTTTCTATGTGTGAAGGAATGTACTAAAATCAAGCAAAAATATCCCAACTGTTTGCTCCAAGAAATACCTGCTCCTAGAAGATAAGATTATGGACTAGCTAATGGCTCACATATCATGGCTAACAGCTTGCTCATTGATAATTTCATGACACTCCCTCATTGCAATCACCAACCCAAAGGTGTTAGGTCATAAACTCTGTCCAATCAATTCCCTGTTTGTCAAGATACACCTTAAAAATCATATAGCCTAGGCTCTAAAACCCTATAAATATAGTACATCTAAAGTAAGTCTCTGCAAAGTGGAGTTTTACCTTTCTGCACAAATCTAATAAACTCAGTTTTATTTTATCCACAAGGTTTTCTGGTGGTCTTTTGGGAGATCAACAGTCAGCATTTGTTGGTATTGTTTTTTCTGTATTTGCTCTTTAAATATGCCCCTAGTTTCAAATGCTGGCCTTGGCTCTTGGTTATTAAATAAATAAGTTTGAACAAGTTACACTACATCTCTAAGCCTATGTCTTGATGGGCAAAACGGGAATCTCATAGGGTTCTTCTGAGGATAAATGAGGCAGTGTGTAAAGAACATCAGCTAACTCACTTCCAAGTATATTAACTCATTTAATTTTTTATATATTTTCATGAGTCATTATTTACATATTAAACATGAGGAAAGTGAGGCACACACAGAAAAGTCAGATGACTTGCCCAAGGTTAGAGATCTTATAATTAGCAACACCAGCATTCAAACCCATACAGTTCAAACAGCAGCATTCAAACACAGAAAGGCAGCCCCACAGTCCATGGCCTGACATACTAAGTCATGTTGTCTTTGCCTTATTAGTTTAGTTCAATTCCCCTCGATGGTGAATAGAGGCTCCCCCATGTGCTCCCATTCCTATTCAAGTTATTCTAGATGCTATTACCATCATTTTTGTTGTATATCAAATGTCAAATACTTTTTGCGAATATTGTTAGTCTCCAGTGACTAAAGATCATTTGGTCCCATTTTTTTCCCCCTAGTCTTGGTCTTACTTAGTCTTTGGGAGGGAAAAATAGCCCAAAGGCATGTCTGGAAAGTTATCTTAAGCCACTTAGGTCTGCCCTGAATTTGGTTTTTTTCTTCCACAAAGATATAGGCTCAGGGAGGGAAAATGATTCTCCATTTTAAGTGACAAGGAAAAACAGGTAATAGGAACATGGTAATAGTAAAAACAGTAGCAATAGCAGTAGGGTTAGCAAGATTAGTAGTTGTTAGAGCATACTAGTAACATTAGGTAGTCCTGTCTCTCACTTATTTTATTAACAAATGTGTATTGATCATTTGCTGTATGTATGGCATTGTGCTGTATCTTAGGGCTCTACCTTTCCTTTTTCTACATTGTTTTTACATTTTAATGGTTCAACTCTCACGTTTTTGATAGAGGCTCAAATCATTATATCAAATCCTCATTCTCTGTAAAGCAAAGCCAAATGCCTATTGACTGAAGAAAGTCTTTTCAAGAATGAGCTAGAGCCTCAAAAAGCACAGAAAAAAAAAATCGATGTATTGTCTTCCCCAAAATCAGCCTTGCTTTGTTATCTATCTGAATGAATTGCATCATCTCTCTTTTAGCAGTTCATCATAAGTCTAAACATTATGGGTCTGCGACTAGTCCAGACCCCAAATGGCAATTTCTGCTGCATGATTTTCCCTCTTCCACAGCTGTACAGTTAATCTCACTTGTCCTGTACATTACCACTGTACCACACAGATTTTTTCCATGTGTCTGTTGTCTAATCTCCACTCTAATATACAAAGCCTGAAGACAGGTATCGACTTTTACTTTTTTTAAGAAGCTATATATCCTCAAAGGTGAATAAAATGTCCATCCTTATAATCAAGAAATATCAATTCATTGGATGAAGAGTGTTTAGAATCATTGTTAAATCAACTGTAGGAAATAAAAACTTCCAGTGTTATTTGACAGCTTAATAAAAAGAACCTAATTTCTTAATTGTCATAAGCTTAAGCTGTTACTAAGGCAAGCTTCCTCACTTAGTTTTTTAATTGTTTTATCTGAAAAAGTAATTGTATCTTATAAGAATTTCATGATAATTTAGTAATTAATTATGACAAGGTACATTGTACTTTAAATACAGGTAGATTATCGAATGGTTAGCATGGTCTGTGTGTCTTTACGTGCATTACCTCATTGTACTATTACTAGAATGCCACGATGTAAGTGTTATTACATTATTAAATCATTTTGTTCCAGAGCTGAATAAAAAAAAATTTCAAAAAAGTTCAAGTAAACACTTGAACTCAAATGTTTCTAATTCTAAATCCCAAACTCCGAAACTTGCCTTCTTCTTAACAACAGTTCTTTTAGCTGACATGCATAGCTCATATAAGTCTTTTATCTCTAGCTACTCAAAATGGAATGGAAGTCCACCAAACTTATGTTTTGTTTCAGAAGCATAGTAATTTTATTCTGCTTTAAATCTAGATGGATATATTACCAGATGAATATATCAACTTTAGAGGACCTTTTTTGTTGAAGAAAAATGACATCACATGGAATTCTGCTAAGTTAAGCAGTGCATTGCTTCCCTTGGAAGACTTGCCACATGGCTGTCAAGACCCACAGTTTTCACTTTACTGTGGGCCACTTCTTATGTGCCTATTTTAGTATAAATTATGCTTTTTGAAGAAAGTACAAAGTTCTGCCATATTTATCTATGCCACTGTGGAATCTATAACTTTATTTTTGTGGTAGAAAGTAACAGTCTATTTTTACTAAGGAAAGAAGACATTTAGGTGTTCTCTCTGTGCTTTTTTTCTTTACCCATCTTGGACTCTTTAGAATGTGTCTAAATTTGGAAGATCACCACTCAGAATGTACTAATTTTTTACCATTTTCGAAGTGCACCAAATTGAAGAAAAATATGCTAGGTGGACTCATGACAAGCTCAAAGAAAAGAGCATATCAAAAGAAATTGATAGCATGAGGTTATGCTTTAAGAAAAAAAAACTGTAGGAAAGAACTTGTCTCTCTTAATACATGTGAAGTCTTGAAATAATTTGGAATGGCAGAAGCGGGGCTAGTATAGCATATAAAATACAAGAGCTGAACAGAAGATCTTTAGTTTAGGCACCTCCACTGTTACCGTGTACAATTTTTTAAATAAATCTCTTCCTATTCTCTGGCCAGTCTGCTAAATGAGGCATACAAGGTTATTACTAAGCTCACATTTTCTATGTGAAGAGAGAAATATCAAGTTAAGCTATTTTACAGTCAATCCTATTAGCATTGTTAGCTGCACCCAATAGGTTAATGAATGGGGCATTGCCTCTGTGAGTGACTAAATACCATTTTATGTTCTTTTCTGAAATTTAAGAAATCAAGAAAAGGCAAAGCAGTGTTTGATGTGCATTTAAATATGAGCACAATGCTATAACTAAAGAATAATTAAGAAAACCTAGAAGTTTTTATTATAATAGTTTTAAAAAATATATGCATGTATAAGCAGCAGAGTGTAGAGTACCAACTTTACATTTTCAAATAGAAAAGCATTGTTTTGACTCAGAACCTCCTGAAGAAGACATATGACTGTTCAGTCACCATTTAGGATGCTTCAGAAGTTAATAAATCTAATTCATTTACTAGTGGTTAGTGAAAAAATCCATGACTTTAAAATTCAAAATCCTAGCTTCAAATCCTAGCTATTTGTGTGGCTCTGGGAAAATTAGTGAATTTTTTGTAAAATTTAAATCCTATTCTTTCCAGTGATAAAGCCTGCTAGATGGTGGTGGATTAGTTTTTTGATGTGCTGTTGGATTCAGCTCATAGTTTCTTGAGATCTTTGCATCTCTGTTCACCAAGAATGTTGGCCTGAAGTTTTGCCTTTTTTTGTTGTGTTTCTGCCAGGTTTTGGTATCAGGATGATGCCAGCCTCATAGAATGCGATAGGGAGGAGTCCCTCCTCTTCAATTTTTGGAATAGTTTCAGTATTATTGATACCAGCTCTTCCTTATGCATCTGTTAGAATTTGGCTGTGAATTCATCTGGTCCTGGGCTTTTTCTGTTAGTAGGCTTTTTATTACTGATTCAATTTCTGAACTCATTATTGGTCTCTTCAGGGATTCAATCTCTTCCTAGTTCAATCTTGAGAGTTTGTGTGTTTCCAGGAATTTATTGATTTCTTCTGGGTTTTCTAGCTTGTGTGCAATAGAGGTGTTCACAATAGTCTCTGAGGATTATTATTATTATTATTTTTATTTCTGTGGAGTCAGTGGGAATGTACCCTAATATAGTTTGGCTCTGTGTCCTCACCCAAATCTCACTTCAGATTGTAATCTCCATAATCCCCATGTGTCAAGGGTGGGGCCAGGTGGAGGTAATTGGATCATGGGGCAGTTTTCCCCATGCTGTTCTCGCAATAGTGAGTTCTAACAAGTTCTGATGATTTTATAAGCATCTGACAATTCCCCTGCTTGCACTCACTTCATCCTGCCCTCTTGTAAAGAAGGTGCCTGCTTCTCCTTTGCCTTCTGCCATGATTGTAAGTTTCCTGAGGCCTCCCCAGCCATTCAGAACTATGAGTCAATTAAACCTCTTTCCTTTATAAATTACCTAGTCTTGAGCAGTTTTCTTATAGCAGCATGAAAATTGACTAATACACTCCTTTTATCAAATCTGATTGCATTTATTTGGGTCTTTTCTATCACTTTATTTTTTTAAACTTTTATTATAGGTTTGGGGGTACATGTGAAGGTTCATTTCATAGGTAAACTCATACCAGGAAGTTTTGCTGTATGGATTATTTCATCATCCAGGTAATAAACCCAGTACCCAATAGTTATCTTTTCTGCTCCTCTCCCTCCTTCCACCGTCCAACCTCCACCATCTAGCTTCCATTTATAAGTGAGAACATGAGGTATTTGGTTTTCTGTCCTTGAATTAGTTTGCTGAGGATAATAGCCTCCAGCTCCATCCCTGTTCCCATAAAAGACATGATCTTGTACTTTGTTTTTTTTGGAGACAGAGTCTTGCTCTGTCACCCAGGCTGAAGTGTAGTGGCATGACTTCGGCTCACTGCAACCTCTGCCTCCCAAGTTCCAGCAATTCTCCTGCCTCAGCCTCCCCAGTAGCTGGGATTACAGGTGCATGCCACCACCCCTGGCTAATTTTTTGTATTTTAGTACAGATGGGGTATCACCATGTTGCCCAGGCTGATCTTGAACTCCTGAGCTCAGGCAATCCACCCACCTAGGCCTCCCAAAGTGCTGGGATTACAGGCGTGAGCCACTGTGCCTGGCAAATCTTGTACTTTTTTATGGCTGTGTAGTATTCTATGCTGTATATGTACCACATTTTCTTCATCCAATCTGTCACTGATGAGCAATTAGGTTGATTCCATGTCTTTGCTATTGTGAATAGTGCTGCAACAAACATTGGCACGCATGTGTCTTTATAGTAAAATGATTTGTATTCTTTCAGGTGTATACCCAGTAATGGGATTGCTGGGGCAAATTTTAGATGTTTTTTAAGCTCTTTGAGGAATCACCATACTGCTTTCCACATGGTAGAACTAATTTATACTCCCACCAACAGTGTAAAAGTGTTTCTTTTTTTCTACAACCTTGCCAGCATCTGTTATTTTTTGACTTTTAATAATAGCTATTCTGACTGGTAAGACGTGGTACCTCATTGTGGTTTTGATCTGCATTTACTAATAATCAATGATACTGAGCTTTTTTTCGTATGCTTGTTTGGCCACAGGTATGTCTTCTTTTGAAAAGTGTCTGTTCATGTCCTTTGCCCACTTTTTAATGGGGTTGTTTTTCCCCTATAAATTTGTTTAAGTTCTTTATAAATGTTGGATATTAGACCTTTGTCAGAGACATAGTTTGCAAATAATTTCTCCCATTCTGTATGTTTTCAGTTTACACTGATGATAGTTTATTTTGCTGTGCAGGAGTGCTTAAGTATAATTAAATCCCACTTATCAATTTTTGTCTCTGTTGTGATTGTTTTTTGTGTCTTTGTCATAAAATCTTTGCTCGTTCCTTTGTCTAGGACAGTTATTGCCTAGGTTGTCTTCCAGGGTTTTTATAGGTTTGGGTTTCAAATTTAAGTCTTTAATCCATCTTGAGTTGATTTTTGTACATGGTGTAAAGAAGGTGTACAGCTTCAGCCTTCTGCATATGGCTGGCCAGTTATCCCAGCAACATTTATTGAATAGGGATACTTTTCCCAGTTGATTGTTTTTGTCAGCTTTGTTGAAGATCAGGTGGTTGTAGGTGTGTGGTCTTATTTTGTGGCTCTCTATTGGCTTCCATTGGTCCATGTGCCTGTATTTGTACCAATACCATTCTGCTTTGGTTACTGTAGCCCTGTAGTATAGTTTGAAGTTGGGTAACATGATGCCTCCAGCTTTGCTCTTTTTGCTTAGGATTGCTTTGACTATCCAGTTTCTTCTTTCATTCCATATGAATTTTAAAATAGTTTTTTTTCCTAGTTCTGCAAAGAATGTCATTGGTAGTTTGATAGAAATAGCATTGAATCTGTAAATTGCTTTGGGTATTGATATAGTTTGTCTGTGTCCCCATTCAAATCTCATCTTGAATTGTAGTGCCTATAATTCCTACATGATGTGGGAGGGAATTATCTCCTGGTTGGAGATAATTGAATCATGGGGGCAGTTTCCCCAATACTGTTCTCATGGTAGTGAATAAGTCTCACAAGACCTGATGGTTTTATAAGGGGAAACTCTTTTCACTTGATTCTCATTCTCTCTCTTGTCACCACCATGTAAGAGTGCCTTTTAACTTCTGCCATGATTGTGAGACCTCCCCGGCCACGTGGAACTATAACTCCATTAAACCTCTTTTTCTTTGTAAATTACCAAGTCTAGACTATGTCTTGATTATCAGCACATGAAAACTAACTAATACAGTAAATTGTTACCAGAACTGCGGTGCTGCTGAAAAGATACTCAAAAATATGGAAGTGACTTTGGAACTGGGTAACTGGCAGAGTTTGGAACAGTTTGGAGGGCTCAGAAGAAGACAGGAAAATGTAGGAAAGTTTGGAACTCCTTAGAGACTTGTTAAATGGCTTTGACCAAAATGCTGATAATGATATGAACAACAAAATCCAGGCTGAGATGGTCTCAGACGGAGATAAGGAACTTGTTGGAAACTGTAGCAGAGGGGACTCTTGTTATGTTTTTGCAAAGAGACTGGTGGCATTTTAACTCTGCCCTAGAGATTTGTGGAACTTTGAACTTGACAGAGATGATTTAGGGTATCTGGTGGAATAAGTGTCTAAGCAACAAAACATTCAAGAGGTGACTTGGGTGCTGTTAAAGCATTCAGTTTTAAAAGGGAAACAGAGCATAAAAGTTTGGAAAATTTGCAACCTGACAAAGTGATAGAAATGAAAATCCCATTTTCTGAGGAGAAATTCAAGTCAGCAGTAGAAATTTTCATAAGTAATGAAAAGCCGAAAATTTATCACCAAGTCAATGGAGAAAATGTCTCCAGGGCATGTCAGAGAGCTTTGTGGCAATCCTCTCATCACAGGCCCGGAGGTCTGGGAGGAAAAAATGGTTTGTGGTCTGGGCCCAGGGTTCCTCAGCTTTGTGCAGTCTAGGAACTTGGTGCCCTGTGTCCCAGCTGCTCCAACTGTGACTAAAAGGGGCCAAGGTACAGCTTGGGCAGTGGCTTCAAAGGCTGCAAGCCCCAAGCCGTGGTAGCTTCCATGTGGTGTTGAGCCTGTGGGTACACAAAAGTCAAGAATGGAGGTTGGGTCTCTTGAAGACAGCATATCATTGGGTCTTGCTTTTTATTCATCTTGCCACTGTGTGCCTTTTAAGTGGGGCATTTAGCCTATTTGCATTAAAGGTTAGTATTGATATATGTGAGTTTGATCCTATCATTATGTTGTTAATAGGTTATTATGTTGGTTTTTTTGTGGGGTTGTCTTACAGTGACACTAGTCTGTGTATTTACGTGTGTTTTTGTATTAGCTGATAGCAGTCTTTCCTTTCTATATTTAGTGCTCCATTCATGATCTCTTCTAAGGCACATCAAGTGGTAATGAAATCCCTCAAGATTTGCCCAGGTGAACAGTATCTTATTTCTCCTATGCTTAGGAAGCCTAGTTTGGCTGGATATAAAATTCTTGGTTGAAAACTTTTTTTCTTTAAGAGTGCTGAATATATGCTCTCAAACTCTTCTGGCTTGTAGGGCTTCTGTTGAGAGGTCTTCTGTTAGCCTGATGGTGTTCCTCTTGTAGTTGACCAGCCCTTTCTCTCTAGCTGCCTTTAACATTTTCTTCTTTCATTTGAACCTTGGACAATCTGACAATTATGTGTCTTGGGGATGGCATTCTTGTGTAGAATCTTGCAGGAGTTCTCTGTGTTTCCTGAATTGGCTGTTGACTTCTCTAGCAAGGTTATGGAAGCTTTTATAGACAATATTCTGAAATATGGTTGTTATTTTTTCTTTATTTTTCTGTGATTGTCTTATTTCAGAAAACCAGTCTTCAAGTTCTAAGATTCTTTCCTCAGCTAGGTTTATTCTGTTGTTAGTACTTGTGATTGCACTGTGAAATTCTTGTATTGTGTTATTCAGCTCTGTCAGACCCATAGAGTTCTTTTATATACTGAATATTTCATCCTTCAATTCCTGTATAGCTTTATTGTGATTCTTATATTTCTGGGATTGGGTTTTGCCATCCTCCTGAGCCTCAATGATCTTTGTTTCTAACCATATTCTGAATTCTATTTCATTCATTCCAGCCAGTTTAGCCTACTTAAGAATTCTTGTTGGAGAACTGCTCTGGTCATTTGGAGGGCATACAACATTCTGGCCATGTGAGTTAGTGGAGTTGTTATGTTGGGTCTTTCCCATCTTTGTGTGTGGGTACTCCTTTAACAGCAATGTATATTGAGTGCAGTCAATAGACATCTTTTCTGGATGCTTTAACTGGGCTGAGGCTTTGTGCAGGATCTTTATCTGGAGCTAACATTCTGTCTCTGGTTTCAGAGAGAGATATGTTGGTGTGATATTTTTGGTGTTGAAGTTTTGGTGTGATCCAGTAGGTGGCACTTAGGCTTATTGGTCAGTTGGTAGACTCTTGCTCAGTTGTGTGTCTCCTGTATGTTTCCTCACAGTTGCAGCTATGTTCTCTCTCAATGCTTTGAAAGTGTGGGTTCCTCTCCCTGTTGAGTGCTAGCTTTAAACTCCTGGGCTGCCCACTGCAGCTCTGGGGTGATTTCAGTGTTTATGCTCCTTCCCAAACTTGGAGGCAGCAGAGGAAGAGACTACCTTCATTGTAGTCGTGGTGCAAGGTCTTTTGCTTATCTCCTGGGGACTCCATCCCAGAGACATGTGGGTCAGCATTTGCTCAGTGCAGTCATCCCAGGATGGAAGGTTTGCGCTGCAGGCCCAAGGCAGGAATTTCCTGTCTGGTGATGAGCAATTGGGGGTGTGTGCAACCCATGGGAGACAAACTGGCCTCCTCTCCTTGGGTCAACTGCAGCTTGTTGGGGGTGTGGATAAATCACTTAGGGTTTTTGCTCCTTTGTTAGTCCACTAACAAAGGAGCAACTGTTAGTACAGTTCTGCTGTAGGAGAAGGGTCAGAGAAGCTTTCAGTTACCTCTGGGGGCTCTGTCCAGGGAGATGTTGAGTTGCTACTGGCTTGATAGCTCTCGTGGTGGCTGGAGGCTCTGGTTGGAAAAACCCACCCAGTGAAGAGGAACAGAATTGGGGACCTGCTTAAAACAGCAGTCTGGCCACATTTTCATAGGGCAGCTGTGCTGTGCTGGGGGACTACTTCCACCCCCCAGTTGTCTTGGACTCTCCAATGTCTGAAAGCTGGAACAGCTAAGTTGCCCAAACAGCAATTATGTCAGTGTGTTCCTCCCTCTATATCTTCATCCCAGGGAGGTTTCAAATCTCTGTTGACTAGAGAACACTGATGGTGGTGGCTGGAGGCTGTGGTTGGTAGATCCTGCCCAGTGAGGAGGAATGGGATTGGGGACCCTCTTCAAAAGGCAGTCTGACCACATTTTCATAGAGCAGCTGTGTTGTGCTTGGGGATCCTCTCTTCCCCTGGTTGGGCTCTAAAGCCCAAAGGCTGAAATGGCTAAGTTGCCCACACAGCAAAGATGATGACCAGCCCCTCCCACTGGGAGCTCCATCCCAGGGAGGTGCAATGGTGCTACCAGTGGCTGGCTGGAATTCCAAGCCAGGGGGTCTTATCCTGTGAGGTGCCATGGAAGTTGGGCCTGCAGACTGTCTTCTCAGCCCCCTGGATTCAGCCTCTTTCCTAGAATATGTACTGAGGTCTAACCTCTCACTTTGTCAAAGTTGCAGCTACTTTTGCTGGGAAGCATGGAGAGCCCCAGTCTCTTCATGTGCCTGAGCAGCTGCTCTGCTGAGACTCCACTTAGCTCCAAGTAGTATGTGTGGAGTCTGAAGGCCTTTGTGAAGTGGGTTTGTGAGGGGAATCTCCTGACCCAAGGGTTGCAAAGATCCATGGGAGCAGCATAGTTTTGCATATTCACTCACCGCTTCCTTGGCTTTGTATCACTCACAGGTGGCCCATTGTCCTGCCTTGCTTTTCTCCATTATCTCTGGGTCAAGTTGTTTCTTTGATAAATCCAAATGTAAGTACATAGATTTTTCAGTTGAAGATGCTATATTTACTCATTTTTTCCATTCCTTTCCATGAAAGCTACACACACTAGCTACTTCTACTCAACCATCTTGGGCACCTCACTTGTTTATTTATTTATTAGTCTAGCAAGCAGTATATCTGTCCTATAAATTCTTTCAAAAAATAAACTCCTCTATTCACTGATCTTTTGTGTGGTTTTTCACATCTCAATGTCTTTCAGTTCAACTCTAATTTTGGTTATTTCTTGTCTTCTGCTAGCCTGGGGTTGGCTTGCTCTTGTTTCTCTAGTTCCTTTAATTGTGATATTAGATTGTTAAGTTGAGATCTTTCTAACTTTTTTATTTGTACGCTTAATGCTATAAATTTCTCTCTTAACAATGCTTTGACTATGTCTCAGAGATTCTGATATGTTGTATCGTTGTTTTCATTAGTTTCAAAAAATTTCTGATTTCTGCCTTAATTTCATTATGTACCTAGAAGTCATTCAGGAGCAGATAGTTTAATTTCCATGTAATTGTATAGTTTTAAGTGACTTGTTTAGGATTGATTTCCATTTTTATTGCACTGTGATCTGAGAGTGTGGTTAGTAAGATTTTGGTTTTTTTGAATTTGCTGAGGATTGTTTTATGCCCAATTGTGTGGTTGATTTTAGAGTATGTGCCATGTACAGATGAGAAGAATGTATATTCTGTTGTTTTTGCATGGAGAGTTCTGTAGTTGCTTATTAGGTCCATTTGGTCAAGTGCAGAGATCAGGTCCTGAAAATCTTTGGTAGTTTTCAGCCTTGATGATCTGTCTAATACTGTCAATGGGGTGTTAAAGTCTCCCACTATTATGTGTGGGAGTTTAAATTTCTTCATAGTTTTCTAAGAACTTGCTTTATAAATCTGGGTGCTCCTATGTTCAGTGTATGTATATTTAGGATAGTTAGGTCCTCTCATTGACTTGAGCCCTTTACCATTATATAATTCTTTATCTTTTTTGATCTTTGTTTTCTTTTTCTTTCTTCTTCTTCTTTTTTTTTTTTTTTTTTTTTCTGATATGGAGCCTTGCTCTGTTGCCCAGGCTGGAGTGCAGGGGGGAAATCTCAGGTAACTGCAGCCTCTGTCTCCTAGGTTCAAACATTTCTCCTGCCTCAGCCTCCTGAGTAGCTGGGACTACAGGTGCACCCCACCATGCCTAGCTAATTTTTGTATTTTTAGTAGAGATGGGGTTTTGCCCTGTTGTCCCAGCTGGTCTTGAACTCCTGACCTCAGGTGATCTGCCTCCCTCAGCCTCCCAAAGTGCAAGGATTACAGGCATGAACCATCACACTCAGCTTAAAGTCTGTGTTTTCTGAAATTAGAATAACACCCCTGCTGTTTCCTGTTTCCATTTGATTGGTAAATATTTTTTCATCCGTTTACTTTGACGCTAGGGGAGCCATTGCATGTGAGATGGGTCTCCTGAAGACAGCATACCATTTTATTCATCAACTTGCCACTCTGTACCTTATAATTGGATGGTTTAGTCCATTTACATTTAAGGTTAGCATTGATAGGTGTGGATTTCATCCTGTAATTATGCCGTTAGCTGGTTCTTATACAGACTTGTTTGTGTGGGTGCTTAATAGTGTCACTGGTCTATGTAATTAAGGATGATTTTGTAGTGGCCAGACATGGTCTTTCTTTTTCATTTTTAGCATTCCCTTCAGGACCTTTCGTAGGGCAGGCCTAGTGGTAACAAATATCCTCAGAATTTGCTTGTGTGAAAAGGATCTTATTTCTCCTTCACTTATGAAGCTTAGTTTGGCTGGATATGAAATCATCAGTTGAAAATTTTTTTCTTTAAGAATGCCAAGAATAGGCCCCCAGTATCTTTTGGCTTATAGGGTTTCTGCTAACAGGTCTGCTGTTAGTTTGATGGTGTTCCCTAAGTATGCTATCTGCCCCATCTCTCTAGCAGCATGTAACATTTTTTCTTTCATTTTGACCTTAGAGAATCTGATGACTATGTGTCTTGGGGATGGTTTTCTTGTGCAGTATTTCACAAGGGTTCTCTGCATTTCCTGAATTTGAAAGTTGGCCTTTCTAGAGAGGTTGGGGAAATGTTTATGGATGATATGCTAAAATGTTTTCCAAGGTGCTTGATTTCTTTCCCTCTCTTTCAGGAAGTCCAATGAGCTGTAGATTTGGTCTCTTTACATAATCCCATATTTCTCAGAGGTTTTGCTTATTATTCTTTATTGTTTTTTTCTTTATTTTTGTGTGACCGAGTTACTTCAGAGAGTCAGTCTTAAGCTCTGAGATTCTTTTCTCAGCTTGGTCAAATTTGTTGTTAATACGTGAAATTGCATTATGAAATTCTTCTACTGTATTTTTCAGCTCTATAAGATAAGTTTGATTCTTTCTTATAATGGTCATTTCATCTATCACCTCCCATATTGCTTTATTTTAATCCTTAGGGTTCTTGGAATGAGTTTTGACTATCTCCTGTATGTCGATGATCTTCATTACTATCTACATTCTGTATTCTATTTCTGGCATTTTTAGCCATTTGAGACTGGTTAAGAACCATTGTTGAGGAACTAATGTGGTGATCTGGCGTTAAGAAGCCACCCTGGGTTTCTGAATTGTCATAGTTCTTGTGCTGATTCTTTCTCATTTGTGTGGGCTGATTTTCCTTTAATCTCTGAAGTTACTATTCTTTGGATGGATTTTTTTCTTTTTTTCTTCTTGGATGCCCTTGAGGGTATAACTGTGGTATAAGGTGGGTTTGATTAACTGGCTTGGATTCTATTTCACTCCTAGGTCTTGGAGGAGCCCCCTCTGATTTCTGTCTCTGTGCCTATTTTGTTGTTGTTGTTGTTTTTGGGTGCTTTGGTCCATGGGGCACCTTCAGGCAAGTGCCTCAGTTGTCAGACAAGCTGAATCCTTCTCAGGTTGGCTGTTCCATGTGCTTCATGAGGAAACACAGATTTGTGCCTGCCCACAGAGTTCAGGGAGAAGCAGCACTGCTGGATTGGAAGCTCTAATGGGCGTGATTCATCTGGCTACAAGAGGCTGGGGTGGGTGGAGAAGTCCATTCTGCCATCCAGGTGTTTGCAGGGCAACAGAAGGCTGTGCCCCTCAGCAAATTCAGGAAGAAGTAGGTCTGCTGGGCTGGAAGCTCTAACAGGCATGGCTTGCCTAGCTGCCAGAAATGGGGGTGGCTGGGGATGCCTGCCTTGCCTTCTGGGTGTTTCTCAGGGCAACAGGAAGCTGCATCCTTTAGCTGAGTTTACACAGAAGCAGGACTGCTCAGCTAGAAGGTCTAGCAGGTGTTGCCTGCCTGGCAGTCAATTACAGGAGTGAATGCGGTCACATGCTCTGCTATCCAGGTATTTTCTGGGACAACAGGATGCTATGTCCGCAGGCTAACTTTTCACAAAAGTGGGGACCACTGGACCGAAAGCTCTAACATCTATTTCCCACCTGACTACCAGTGACATAGGCAGGTGGGATTGTGAACTCTGCCATCCCAGTGTTGCCCAGAACAACAGGAGACTGTGCCCTCCAGCTGAGTTTACATAGAAACAGCAAGTTTGGCTAGAAGCTCTAGCAAGTGTTGCCCACGTGGCTACCAGTGGTGAGGGTGGGTGGAGTGGCCAGCCAAGTTCAGGCCAAGTGGGACCACTGGGCCAGAAGCTGGCACTGACTCCGGTCTGGCAAGAGGCGATGGGGCAATCTTACTACTCCCAGGCTCCACAACTGCAGCCTCTATTTGGACTATGGCACTGGTCTGCTCTGGGGCCCCAGGCTTGTAGAGGTCCCCTTGGACTCAAGAGGCAAAACATCTGGGTGGCTCTCTGTCTCAGTCTAGAAATGCAGTGGTGAGGTGTGGGAGTTGGGGGCAGAGAGATTCTCCTGTTTCCAGTCTTGCACAGGTTTCTGTTGAGAGCATGAATCCCCCTAGTGGTTCTCACTCACTCACCCTTTCCCATGTTGGAGAGGTTCTCCCGGCTCCACACTAAGCCCAGACACGCTGATGCCCAGCTTAGATTCTCTCTGCTCTCTGTGGTCCCCTGCTGCTGTGATGTATCCCAGTATGGTTTCTCGGATGATTGGCCTGGAGAGTCAGTGTTCCTCTGCAGGCCCTTTTGTTTCCTCTCTGGAAGAGCAATACACAGGATCTGCTTCTGGTTTGCCATATTGGCCCCTCCCATAAATTCTATCTTTTTCAAACTACATCTTTGTAGTCTTTCAAACTACATCTATGTAATTAAATCCTTCCAGACTTCATCTGTGAAATGGAGATAATGGCTAGGATTTAATAAAATCAAACATTTAGAACTATAACATAAAGCAGAGAAGAATGTCAGTAGAAAATAAATAAGAAACAACACAAGCTTTGGAACCTGACACACTCAGACCAAGTCCTGCCACTGCTACCCACGACATAAACTTACTATTGTTGTGTAACTTCTCTGTGCTTTAGTTTCCACATTTTGAAAATGTGGATTATGATGATGTTAACAGTACATATCTCATTGGATAGTTGAGATAATGCCTATAAATCACTTAGCATGATGGCTGCTACACAGTTAGCACTGGAAAAATTATATTGCCATGATCCATGGCAGGTTCTAGAGTATATGTGTGCATAAGAAACACCCCTACAGTGGAAATATAGTTACTAATCCTTTTGAATGGTTAATTATAGCCACTATTAAATATTAATTGTCAAGTGTTTGCTACACCAAATATCACCAATACAATTCCTTGGAAAGACAAATCTGTGTTTATTGCGTACTCTAGAAAGGGAGAACACCATTGTAAAATATGCTTATTCGCATCTCAGAAAGAAGAGGAAAAAATTGGGATACTTTTTAAGATATTTAAATGTAGTTCAAGACAGGTCATTCAATGAAAGATGGCTTTGTTAAGATTGGGCAAGAATCGTGATATAATGATTTAGGGATTGACAGACATAGGAAGATAGAAATTTTTGAGGTGAGCGTTCAGAGTCTTGATGTATAATTGGCATTTGATAATTTGTATTAAATATAGCATGTTTCAAGAAGTTCTTGGAATGTACAATACACTTATTTGCAACTTCTGTTGGGCAACAGTAAAGTTATGTTGATAAAATCAGTGGAATAGTAAGATCCTGATAATGTGAACAGTGAGCTGTGTGAATGATTTCAACTCTCAAATTTAGTATCTGGCAGTAAAGAGGTCCTAATTTACTGAGCTATACTTCCCACAACTGCTTTTATCAAGGTATCATTAATTTTTCAAATCTTGATGACATCCTCAGTTTCCTCTGTATTATTATTGAAAAACTTGCCATTTAAAACAATGGGCACACATGTGCTTTTAACCTCCACAATGTACCAAAAATAAATTTGTCAAACTAATATATTTTATAAAATGAATATTAAATAAAAATGGTCATTTCACTCTTTATGACATTTTAAAATGGATTAAATCATATCAATTTTTTTCATCTACATTCTCATAATTACTCTTCACCTCGTTGGGGTCCCTATTTACAAATAATCTTCAAGTAGAGTCCTGTTCTGCCTCTTCTTGATTTTCTAAACTTCAGAACTAACTGCCATTTAGATACCCACAGAAGCAATAGCCTGCTCATCCATCTATTAGGTTCAGCTGTGAATGCTATAATCAAAGAGGTGTTTATAAAATAATAAAAACACAAAGCTGGTATTTTCTTTTCCATTTTGAAATATACAGGCCTTGTCCATTATTGAGTCTACAAAACCAAACATATTTTCTTGCAGATTTTAAATAAATTTATTGCAACCTATTTGACATGTATTAAATTCTGGACAAGGGCAGACATTTTCCTGGAATTAAAATGATATGGGAATCTGGACAAGTTCTTGTAGACTCACTTTTCTCAGCTTCTCCCAGCAAAATATAACTAAAAACCTTAGAGATAACACAAAAGGGGGCTTGAGAGCTTGAAAAGTTGGTAAGAGGAAGGTGAGTTGATTTAGTACCACAGAACTAGAGAAACAGTATAGCAGCAAAGTGTCCTGCATGTTACCCAACAGAAGAAAGTGACCCAATCCCAGTGTTTCCAAAACCAGAACCTACCAATAGAAGGAAGACTACATAGGCTTGTTCCTCCCCGAATCTAAAATAAAAGTGGAAATTATTTTAATAAATAAAATTTAAAAAATAAAATAACAATTACTCCAAATAAAAAATTTAAAAAGTACTTAGGTATATACTTAATACAAATATATACAGCATCCATATGCCCCTTATAAAACACCAGTAAGTCAAAGAAGACCTAAACTAGGTGAAAGATATATTGCATTCATGCATTGGAATATTCTTCATGGCAAAAGTATTAGTTCACTCAAAATTGAGCTATTGATTTTCTTTTAAGATTCCAGCAAGGTTTTTGGTAAATACAAGCAAACTTAGTCCAAAAAATAAAATGGAAAGACAGCCAGGCATGGTGACTCACGCCTGTAATCCTAGCACTTTGGGAGGCCTAGACGGGTGGATTACATGAAGTCAGGAGTTCAAGACCAACCTGGCCAACATAATGAAACCCTATCTCTACTAAAAAAAATACAAAAAATTAGCTGGGAGCAGTGGAACACAGCAATCTCAGCTACTCATGAGGGTGAGGCAGGAGAATCACTTGAACCTGGGAGGCAGAGGTGGCAGTGAGCCAAGGTCACGACACTGCACTCCAGCCTGGGCAACAGAGCGAGACTTCATCTCAAAAAAAAAAAAAAAAAAAAGAAAGGAAAGGCACAGAAGTTACAAAAGCTAAAAATAATTTTGACAAAGAAGCATAAAGTGAGAAAAAGCACTCTACCTGATACTGTGTTTTACTACATAGCTATGGTAGTTAAGACAGCATGTTATTGGAGGAGGTATAAACAGACTGGAATAGAATATAGAACTTAGAAGTTAGACCCACACAAATACTCTCAACTAATTTTTGACAAAGGTCTAAAAAACAAACAGAGAAATCTGATTCAATTTAATTCAACATCATTTCAACACGTAGTATTGGAACAACTGGACATCCATGGGCAAAAAATAAAATAAAATAACCCCCGACATAAATCTTAAGCCTTTTTATAATAATTAATTCGAAAATATAACAAAGACAAATGTAAAATGGAAAAGTATAAAACTATTAGAAATAAACATTAGGGAAAATATTTGAGATCTAGAACTGGCAAACAGTTCTTGATCTTAAGGCATGATTGATAAAAGAAAAAATTAGTAACTTGAGACTCCATCCAAATGAAAAATAGTTTTCTTGGTGACCCTGTTAAGCAGATGAAATAACAAGCAAGAGGTTGGAAAACAATATTTGCAAACCACATATCTGGCAAAGAATAGGTAAGTAGCATATATAAAGAACTCTGAAAACTAAAATAAAAAATAGATATTTCACTGAAGGGGCTGTACAGTTGGCACATAAGGAGATAAACAGAGGTATGACATCCTTAGCCATTAGGAAAATGCAAATTGAAACCATAATTAAATATCATTACATACCTAACAGAATGACTAAAAAAATAAATGGTGACAATTCCAAATGTGTGAGGATAAAGGGAAACTAAATTACTCATACATTGCTGATGGGAATGTTAAATGTTACAACCACTATACAAAACAAGTTTGCAGTTTCTTGTATAACTCAAATGCAAATAGCATATGACCCAGATATTTTAATCTTGGTGATTTATCCCAGAGAAATGAAAACTTATGTTGACACAAAAACATGCATATGACTGTATATAGTGGCTTTATTTGTAATAGCCAAAAACTATAAACAGTATAGACGTTCTTCACTGACTAATGGTTAAACAAACTGTCATAATATATATCATATTAGTACTAGTTAGCATTAAAAAGGAACAAATTATTGATATACATGACAACTTAGATGATTATCCAGACAATAATACTGAGTGGAAAAATCTGATTCTGAAAGGTTACATACTTTATGATTCTATTTATACAATATTTTGAAATTATGATATTTTAGAAATGGGTAATAGGTTAGTGGCTGCCCAGGGGTTAGGGACAAGGGTGGGTTGGAGAGGTTTATGTGTTTTTAAATAGCAACAGAAGGGATCCTTGTGGTTTTGGAATTGTTCCATATCTTGACTGTGGTAGTGGGTACAAAAACTTACACATGAGATAAAATTGTTTAGAACTAAACACTCATACATACACACACACACACACACACACACACACACAAATGAATACAAAACTAGAAATGTGAATAAGTTCAGTAGATTTTATCAATGTCAACATCCTTGTTGTGAAGCTGTACTAGAGTTTTTTGTAATTGTTACTGTGTGAAACTGGGTAAAGTTTACACTGGATATCTCTATAATGCTACTTATAATTGCAAATGCATGTTGAATGATCCAATAAGAATATAAATTTAGGCTGGGCACGGTGGCTCATGCTTGTAATCCCAGCACTTTGGGAGGCTGAGGCAGATGGATCACTTGAGGTCAGGAGTTCGAGACCATCCTGGCCAACATGGTGAAACCCCATCTCTACTAAAACTACAAGAATTAGCCGGGCATGGTGGTGTGCACCTGTAATCCCAGCTACTCAGGAGGCTGAGGCAGGAGAATCACTTGAACCCAGGAGGTGAAAGTTGAGGTGAGCCAAAATTGCACCACTGCACTCCAGTCTGGGCAACAGAGGGAGATTCTATCTCAAAAAAATAAATAAATAAATAAATTGAAAACTGATATGGACCTTGAGCTTATTCTCAATAATTCAACTTACTATTTCTAGAGATAGATGAAACTCCTTACCTTCAATGAACTGTATCAAGAAGCCAACATTTCTTCTACATATTTTCTCTCTATTTCTCTTCCTTTCCATATCTCCTTGTCCTCCCTCTCTTCCTATTTGTCCTAGACTTAGTTGGCACAGTGCATTCCTTTATTGCCATACACCAAATGCCCCAATCACAGAATATCGTGGTGTATGCAGGGATTTGTTGCCATCCTGGAAAGCTTTATGAAGGAGAATTGAAAAAAAAAGTCTAAGATTTTGAAAGCCAAAACCATGAGGAATAGATACTACAGGAATAGGCACAAGCATCGACATTTGCAATAAATTTGAAAGTGTGCTTTCATTGAATGACAAATATTTATAATAAATAGAGTATAGGGTGGTTACTTGTTCACTGTGGGGTTAAAGTAGAGTTGACAATGTGGAAAGGTAGAAGAAGATAGAAAAGAACTTTGACAGTATGTATTACCAAGGACATGCCCTTAATTATATACTCCAAGGTAATTCATCATTAAATTTTCAACTGAGATGTATTTGAGAGATATTTAGGAGATGGAATCTCAATAACTTGTCGAAATGTTGAAATGAGAGGTAAATCAATGAGAGAAGTCTTAGAAGATTCTCAAGGTTTTGGTCTGAATATTAGAAATCTCATATTGCCATTTTCTGAGAAGAGAATAGGCAGAAGATTCATATTATGGGAGAAGAATTTTAAAGAGATATTTAATCCCTTTCAATGATATAATCTGTATGTTCAATGACATTTCTGAATTTTAAAATTATCATTTAATGAAGTACCATTCAGAAATTTGTAACTGAAATTTCTAGGAAATTATGAACAGAGTATTGGTATTCAATTTAACTCCTTCAAAATCAAAATTGTATTTTTGCTTTACAATTCTATTATAATGAAAATAATGTCATATATGTCAAATAATTATAGTAGTGTAGAGAAATATATTTGAAGCTAAAATTTAGTCTCAAATGAGTGTAAAAATATGCTATGTAAAATTTTAATATATAGAAAGTAATTTTCAGAAAATTTTCTAAATTATAAAAACTATTAGCTGTTAACTTTATCTTCTACGGGTATTTCTCTCCGCTTATCTATGTTTCAACTTTCAACAAAGTGACTACCAATAATTCCCACTGTTGTCAGATTCAAAATAGTTATTCCTTTTGGTATATTGTATATAGTAAGCTCACTCCCCTCTGGCTTTTAACTTTATTTCTTTTGTCCCTGGGGTAATAGTTTCTCTCGTTTCTGCTAGTTCAGCTGAAAGAATCATTTTTCTCCTAGTAGGCTTTTGTGACTTTGCCAAACAACATAAACTTTTAGGAGGTTTCAGTATAAAGAACAGATCAAGATATAAACTGTGGTTAATCAAGTAATTAGATAAGAAATAATACTTATAATACAATATGGTAAGGAGACATGCCAAGCGGACTGTGACTAAATAAATATACCTACTATTTTGGATTATAATTAGTTACTTTATGGCAATGTTTTTATTTTACTCTCAATCTATAGAGTGATTTCTGTTTCTTAGGAGGTACTTAATATACACATTTATAGAAATTATAAATGAATTCTTCATTTTTAATGTTTTTGTTCTGTGTTGCCATATGTCACTCTTTATCCCTGACTTTATTTTTCAGTATTGTTCTCACCAGTTTATCAGAATACTCCTCCTTTTCCGTCTTCATGAGTTTCCGATTTATTGTACAAGGGACTTATAAACCTCAAAACATGAGCTACTTGACACTTTAGCCCAAACGATATTGTTAAACACATACCTCCAAAAGAATTAGACAAAGAGAAAGGTGAAGAAAATCAGGGAAAAGAAAGACAACGGAAATTTCTAAAAAGAAAAATAAGAAATGAAAAAAGGAAAGGATGGGAAAGGAAGAGGGGAGGAGAGTCCATGAAGAAGCATATTCAGAGACTGAATCAAGAAAAATAGTAACCACCACCAATTGACTCAGAGGTCAATTTTGTGGTATCTGTTTAGCAAATTACTCCTGAGATACATTAAAGAAGTAATGATAAGTAATGATAATAGTCAGAAAAACACTGAGGGAATGTCATTTATTTTTTAAAAAATCTTTTAAATTCTTAGCATTACAGAAAAAGTCCTAAACTTTGAGTCACAAGCTTACTATTAATGACAGTTTCTATCTAGAGACATAAGAAATAAATCAGAAGAGTTAGAAAAATGTTCCCCTGATCTAAAATAAGTAGATTGTGACATTATCACAATCATAATAGCATTGTCTCCATGTATTTGGAGTAGGTTTGAACAGATGGCTCTGCTTTGCCTAACACTGAAATCCACACAACAGTCTTCCAAAATGTCCTTACCATCATCACCACTTTGACCTTACTTCTGTATTCTCTCAAGCATACAGCCAAGCGAAGGCTCTGCTCCAGTTCAAAGAGCCCAGACTGCTATTGGCAATGACCAGTGCTCACACCCTTGAACCTCCATGCCCTGACAGCAATCCTCTACCCAATAGGTTTATTGTGATGGATATGTGTTTTTTTTTTTTTTTTTTTTTTTTGGAGACAGAGTCTTGCTATGTCGCCCAGGCTGGAGTGTAGTGGTGTATCTCAGCTCACTGCAAGCTCCGCCTCCCGGGTTCATGCCATTCTCCTGCCTCAGCCTCCCGAGTAGCTGGGACTACAGATGCGTGCCACCATGCCCAGCTAATTTTCTGTATTTTTAGTAGAGACGGGGTTTCACCGTGTTAGCCAGGATGGTCTCGCTCTCCTGACCTCGTGATCTGCGCACCTCGGCCTCCCAAAGTGCTGGGATTGCAGGCGTGAGCCACCGCGCCCGGCCTATCGTGAAGGATTCTTAAGAACAACTGCACCTACCATGTCTCACAACTCCGTTATTATTGGTCACCACTCAAGATGTGAGCCCTTGTACTCTCATCCTGATACTAATGTCCAATTTTCTCTTCCCTTTGAATTCTTTTTAGTATACTTTCTAGGAATCCCCATTTTCCAACTTAAAAAGCCAAAACAAAAATCTCCCTGCTGTGATTAATACTTGCCCAGAACCCTGAGAGATGGAAACTACTTATTTCCCCTTACTAGAGTTCTCAAGATTAATGTTCTTCCATGTGCCAACTGCTACATACTAAGCATTCCACATGTACCCTCATGATTAAGTTTCCCACTTTGAAGATTATGCCTCATTCTATCTCTTTTTCTAATCGTAGTTTACTGACCTGGTTCCTATCCCTTGTACTGTGAAAATGTGTCATCTTGTTTATGGCACGTAGTTCTTTCTAACCCAAACCTGCCTACCACTGAAGATGTTTTCACTGGGCATGGAGGTTAGCCAAACAACTAACTGCGTTTCTGGACCTCACAGGAACTCCTTGACCACTTTTCCATTTTTCCCCATCAAAATTCTCCTGTTTTTCTTTCCTTTACTGTCCAGTTAGATTCTGCAGTCCATTACTTATTCTCTTGACAGTATTCGTGATTTCATTTTCTTTTGCCCACCCTTCCTGAAAAATTCTACTTGTTGACCTTTCTGCCTGTATCAAGGCTGCTGAGTACTCCTGGAAAAATTTTGACCAACACCATAAATTTCTCCAACTTCAACTAAGCAACCAATGCAGAGAAACACTGTTCCCAAGAGTTTATTTCTGCATATCATTTATTTCAAACCTTTTTCATTAGCTTTTCCTCCTCCTACAAAGAGAATATAGAAGCATGTGATTTCCTGACATGACCTACAAATTTAACTGGATAAGCATATATGTTTCCACATATTTATCATTTCTACTGCTCTTCCTTTCTTCCTGTAGATCTTGGTTTCCATTTGTTGGCATTTCCCTTCAGCCTGCAGATCATAATTATCATTTCTTGAAGTGCAAGGTCCTTCATAACTAATATAATTTTTACTTACCTAAAATTGTTGTTAGGTCTTGGAAGACTTTTTTGGTTACCAGATTCTTGGTTGATAGGGTTTACTTATTTATTTTTAAATGTATTTAGGCACTTTAAAAATGTGCTTTCTTTGTAATGGGATTTAGGACATGATACCCCCAAATATGGAACCATTGTATTTAAGAAAACCCTAGAAGCAGGAAGGTCACTCTCACTTTCCTCCTGCCTTTCTACCAGGCAGCAGGTCATAAAGCTCTCACTGCAGTGGTACCCACCCTCTATGCAAAGGAAAGGAATGTCTTTATTTCAGAAAACACAGGGACATAGAGAAGAATATGAACAAATAGGCTTTTCTAAGTGTTCCCCAGTTTATTACTATTAGTTTACATTCTCTTTCTCCAACCATACTTCTCCACAACTATCCACTTCTTTATAAAAGTTAGCATAAAATATACAGATTTTTCTGTTTCTTTAGGTCTTAATTTCCTTATAAAGTGTGTCTCAAGTCAAGTAAACTTACATTAAATAAATGTATAATCTTTGTTCTTGTTAATCTTTTTTTGTTGTTATAGGGATCTCAGCCATGAACCTAGTGATGAGGGAGCAACAAAATTTTTCCTCCTCTACATTTGTCATCATTCCTTTATTGCTTCTGATGAGAAGTCAGCCACTGTGTCTATGGCTTCTTTCACATTTAATATGTATTTTATTTTTTTCTACCTGCTTCCAAGATTTTTATTCTCTTGGTTTTTCTGCAATATTACCATTCTTTTCTTCTATACTTGGTACTATATTTGATATGGTGTAAAGAATTTAGGTTTATTTATCTTCCTCTGAAGAGTATTAATATCTCTTCAAACAGATGGTTAATTTAACTAGACTCAAATTCCAAACTTGTTTCTCCTGTCATTCTTTCAGGCCTCCCACATTTGATTTTGCTAGTGTTCTTGGCATCTTGACCACACATGTGCTGTTCTGGGGCCAGCCAAGGATTTAGGTAAAGTTAGAATTGAAATTTTGTGGGATATATCTTGGGTGTCTCTTTCTCTCTATGCCCACCCTCCCCCTGCCCTACCAAACACCACATTCCAGACACTGTAGTGGTGTAGTTCATCCTCTTATCCGTGGAGCTGTGTGTCTCTTTTTCAGTTATAGCAACTCTGCAGCCAGTCGACTCACAGTGGCTTCAGTGGCAAGCCATATAAACATTAATTTCACCCCACACAGTTCTGTTCTTTAAAGAGTCAACTATTCTCTAGTTTTGGCCTGATTTTGGTTTCTCTAGTGCTTTCAAACTGTTGCTTTGAAAAATGCTTTTTCAGATTCAATAATTGCTATCTGCAGTAAAGTTACTTTGACAGAAGCTATTCTGCCATTTCCAGAAGTAAAATTTTGACATTTAGCTTTAGTTCTCTCTATTCTGTATACACCACATTTTTTCTCACGTTCCTAATTTCATTGTTTTATTGTTTACATTACAGACAACATCTTCTCCATACCTTTGCTTTGTGTCTCTGCATTATTCTGCTTTGTAGGTATCCAAGATAAGTCTTAGAGTTGTAGTTTCTTTCATCTCCTCCTTTATCATACTGAATTCTGTATAAACCCGTTAAACTTGTAAGATTTCTGTTATAAACAGACATAACCTAACCTATCCTTTGTTATCTGTAGGCAAGGAGGAATCTCATGATGCTCTTATAGAAAAGATAAAGTTTTTCCATAGTCAGAAACAGAAGTGATGTTAACTTAGTAAATATTAAAAATGCTGACAATATATATTTGAAACATGTCAACATATTTCACCAGGTAAATATCTCGGATATATAAATGGTTTCACCATATTTCTTCAGAGAAGTAGAGCATTAGAGCCTTTTTGGCTTATCCAAGTGCAGTAATGCTTACAACTAATTTATCACAACCAGTTACAGATTTTTTTTTCTTTACTCTCACTGATTCACTTGACTAGTAAAAACTAAAACAAATAAACCAAAATCTCTGCTCCTTTTTAGTGGAGACAGAGGCTGATTTTCCATCCAAAATGAGAGTGAATTATATACTTTTCCTCTCAGCCATATAGATGATCCATAATCTATTTCCGTAATGTTTGAATTTGTTTTCATAGTCCACCTATTGCTGGTTTTGATTTCCTACCTTTAATTATCTTTCAAGGCAAGATTTTTCAGACTTGTTATTTATTTATTTTTTAAAATGATGTTTGTCCCTACTCACTGTTCTCTGGATGATATTAATTTCCCATTCAAACTCAGAGTTGGAGTACAGGTTGAAGTTTCTCACACTTGCTCAGTTTGCCTACAAATTATCATCTAATTTAGCTCCCCAGGTTTAAGATTATTCCATAATTTTATTGTCTGCATTTTGGTCAATTTAAGCGTAAGCTTCTCTAGTTAAGTAACCAAGGTCTTCAACATGAAACATTAATTATCAGGACTATACCTATCCCAACCCTGGTCTTAATGTTAAAGGAACAACTTTTAAAATCCACCACCAAAACCATGATTTTCATTTCCTAATTTCTTATCCATATTCTGTGGGCATTTTGAATCACAAATGGATGTAGAGTTGTGCTGGGAAAGGATGAAGTGCAGATAACACAGGTACCTGAATCAGTGCCCTTAGAAACCAATGCCTTTGGAGTATAACTTTCTGATTTTATATACCTCACAACTCTGAATTCAGGGGAATATGATAGATGAAAATGAAATATATTGTGGCTGTCTTTTGATTAGCATATTTGCTCTGTTTTAAGCATCAACATTTATACCTAACAAAACTATTTTTAACAATTCATCTTTTGTCTGATAGATGTTAAAACAATCCCCCATGTGCTAGCACTATAGAGAAGCTTAGTATTATGTATTGTTGTAGTTTTTTTAAAAGAATTGTAATGATATATTGGGAAGAACTATAACTTGAATGATAAGCTTAAAATACTAAATGTATTTGTGTTAAAATATCATCTTCTAGAAATAAAAGTCCTACCCAGAATAGAGAGTAAAATAAGGCATTTAAAATGTCATATTACACACAGACATCACAGACATATGCAGTCCTGATATTCAACTATAAAACAGAAACCAGATTATCCAAATGTATGTTGTTTTCTCAATAAGAAACGTCTTACTCAAGTATCAGCCCACTGCTTCAAAAAGTCAATCAAAACTAAACTACAAGGAAAGTAGAATTTTAAAATGCCAAATGAAAATTTTAAAATGTAACATGAGATATGTTGGAAGAATGTTGGGATGAGAAAAGAAAAATAAAATTTAGTTAGAAGTAGAAGACTTCCTAAGCCAGTCTCTTTATTTCCACAGTTCGCATTAAGTATATTCCATAATATTTGAAGTCTGAAAGAGAATATCCTCACAGATCCTGATGTTGATTTAAAGCTATACTTTATTCCTAACAGAAATACATATGTGACAGGAATGATAGCTACCAGGAAAATTTATGACGATGTATTAGTCCGTTTTTACACTGTTGATAAAGACTTACCTGAGACTGGGCAAATTACAAAAGAAACACGTTTACTGGACTTACAGTTCCACATGGCTGGGGAGGCCTCAAAATCATGGTGGAAGGGGAAAGGAACATCTCACCTGGTGGTGGCAAAAGAGAGAATGAGAGCCAAGCGAAATGGGTTTCCACTTATCAAACCATCAGGTTTCTTGAGACCTATTCACTACCATGAGAACGGTATGGGGGAAACTGCCCATGGGTCCCTCTCATAACACATGGGGATTATGGGAAGACAATTCAAGATGAAATTTGGGTGGGGACACAGAGCTAAACCATATTATTCTGCCCCTGGCCCCTCCCAAATCTCATGTCCTCACATTTCAAAACCAATCATGCCTTCCCAACAGTCCCCCAAAATCTTAACTCATTTCAGCATTAACTCAAAAGTCCACAGTACAAAGTCTCATCCGAGACAAGGCAAGTCCTTTCTGCCTATAAGCCTGTAAAACCAAAAGCAAGTTAGTTACTTCCTAGATACAATGGGGTACAGGCATTGGGTGGATATAGCCATTTCAAATAGGAGAAATTGGCCAAAACAAAGGGACTAAAGGCCCCATGCAAGTCTGAAATCCAGCAGGGCAGTCAAATCTTAAAGCTCTAAAATGGTCTTCTTTAACTTCATGTCAGGTCATGTTGATGCAAGGGGTCAGTTCCTATGGTCTTGGGCAGCTCCACCCCTGTGCTTTGCAGGGAACAGCCTTCCTCCCAGCTGCTTTCACAGGCTGGCATTGAGTGTCTGTGGCTTTTCCAGGAGCATGATGGAAGCTGTCAGTGGATCTACTATTTTGGGGTGTGGAGGACAGTGGCACTCTTCTCACAGCTCCACTAGGCAGAGCTTCAGTGGGGACTCTGTGTAGGGGTGCCCACCCCACATTTCTCTTCTGCACTGCCCTAGAGAGGTTTTCTGTGAGGGCCCAGGCCCTGCAGCAAAATTTTGCCTGGGCATCCAAGTGTTTCCATACATCTTCTGAAATCTAGGTGGAGGTTCCCAAACCTCAATTCTTGACTTCTTTGCACCCACAGGCTCAACACCACATAGAAGCTGCCAAGGCTTGGGGCCTCCACCCTCTGAAGCAACAGCCTGAGTTATACCTTGGCCCCTTTTAGCTACAGCTGGAGTGGCTGGGACACAGGACACCAAGTTCCTAGACTCTACACAGCAGAGGGACCCTGGGCCCAGCCCATAAAATCATTTTTTCCTCCTAAACCTCTGGGCCTATGATGGGAGGGGCTGCTGCAAGGTCTCTGACATGACTTGGAGACATTTTCTCCATTGCCTTGGTGATTAACATTCAGCTTCCCCTGACTTATGCAAATTTCTGCAGCCAGCTTTAATTTCTCCTTAGAAAATGGAATTTTCTTTTGTTTCACATTGCCAGTCTGCAAATTTTCTGAATTTTTATGCTGTTTCCCTTTTAAAACTGAATGCCTTTAACATCACCCAAGTCACCTCTTGAATGTTTTGCTGCTTAGAAATATATTCTGCCAAATACCCTAAATCATCACTCTCAAGTTCAAAGCTCCACAAATCTTTAGGGCAGGGGTAAAATGCTGCCAGTCTCTTTGCTAAAAGATAACCAGAGTCACCTTTGCTCCAGTTCTCAACAAGTTCCTCATCTCTATATGAGACAACTGCAGCCTGGATTTCATTGTTCATATCATTATTAGCATTTTGGTCAAAGCCATTCAATAAGTCTCTAGGGAGTTCCAAACTTTCCCACATTTTCCTGTCTTCTTCTGAGCCCTTCAAACTGCTCCAACCTCTGCCTGTTACCCAGTTCTATAGTCACTCTCACATTTTCAGGTATCTTTTCAGCAATACCCCACTCTACTGGAACCAATTTACTGTATTAGTCCATTTTCATGCTGCTGATAAAGACATACCTGAGACTGGGAAATTTACAAAAGAAAGAGATTTATTGGACTTGCAGTTCCATGTCTCTGGGGTGGCCTCACAATCATTTTGGAAGGTGAAAGGCACATCACATGGTGGTGGCAAGAGAGAGACTGAGAGCCAAGTGAAACGGGTTTCCCTTTATCAAACCATCAGATCTTATGAGACTTATTCACTACCACGAGAACAGTATGGGAGAAACCATCCCCATGATTCAGTTATCTCCCACTGAGTTTCTCCCACAACACTTGAGAATTATGGGAGTACAATTTGAGATGAGATTTGGGTGGGGACACAGAGCCAAACCGTATCAGATGGTTTGAGTAATTTAATGTGCCCTTTTCTTTGAGGCTTGCGGTGCTTAACCCTGGGTCCGTACACAATACTAAAATTTAGTTTGAGTAAAAGGTATGCCTTCCTAAGTAAAAGAATTTTAGGAAAGAGGATGAGACCTGGAAAACCTACGGGAAACACATTCGCAGGCAAATCACTTTCTATAAGTGGAAGTTGAGGAATCAGAAATTGATTATTTTTAAATTACATCCTTGGGTATCCATAAGAAAGTCTTCTGGGAAAGGTAAATTGCTGTCTAATATGAAGACCACAGGTTTAGGAAATAAAGGGCAGACCATTTTCTAATGCTCACTTATTTCTAGAAAGTGGAAGGGAACTTTAGAGAAAAAGATAAACTTCCTTTTTTTTTCTTTGAAACCTGATAGAGTTTATGTTTCTTCAGATGATTTGATGTCTGCATATTAATACTATTGCTCATTCTTCGTTTGCATCTGAAGACTGAACTGAAACAAGTTAAAAATACAAGAATGGGGCCGAGCGTGGTGGTTCATGCCTGTAATCCAGCACCTTGGGAGGCTGAGGTGGGTGGATCACCTGAGGTCAGGGGTTCAAGAACAGCCTGGCTAACATGGTGAATCCCCGTTTCTACTAAAAATACAAAACAGTAGCCAGGCATGATGGTGCATGCCTGTAATCCCAGCTACTCGGGAGGCTGAGGCAGGAGAATTGCTTGAACCCAGGAGGTGGAGGTTGCAGTGAGCCATGATCTTGCCATTGCTCTCCAGCTTGGGCAACAAGAGTGAAACTCTGTTTCAAAAATAATAAAATAAAATAAAATAAATAAAATAAAATAAAATAAAATAAAACTAAAATAATGGAATGTCCAGATGGTAACTCTCCATCTAATTTTTTATGTTCCCTTCATGCTTGAACTTAGTAGTACATGTTGTTGTTTTTTCTATCCTTGTTCTCTTTATGTGATTCTTTCAATTTCAAGTTTTTCTTGCCTCCTAGTTCTTGACATGTTGTCTTGTCTGCAGCCCTCTACTTACAATTCTGTTTTGCCATGTTCAACAACAAAATGAGTGTTCTTTTGATCTCTGAACCTTTCAGGGCATCTACTTGAGAGCAATCGCTCATTTCCAGTTCACTGATAAGGAACATGTTGGCAGATTTAAACAAATCAAAGGAAGAAATCCAAAAGTGCTCCTTCTTGCATCCCAATTCTGTCTTCCCTTCTTACTCAGTGTGTTTTTGGTGATTAGAACTTTACTGAGGTGTATGAATACTTTTTGTTTATGTTTTTTGTTTTACTACCTTCAAATCTAAATGTCTAGTTTTATTATAATTTTGAAAATATAATTCTGGAATGTACCTAAGATAAAAAATAATTTTCAAGTAAGAATTATGGCTCACATATTAATAAAATGAACACAGATCAAAGATTTAAGTCATTATTTAAATGAGAGTACTGGAAATAAGCTACAACTGGTTCAAAGAAGAATCCAAAGAAGAGCGATTTATAGATCTGGAATGTTGAATAAATCTGCAAACAGATGCAAAACTTACTTCTAATGCAGTTGAGGAGGGAACGCAAGTGAATTTCCACAGAATTTGTTTGCATACCTATACACAGGAATTATTTTGCATTGATATCAGTTATTTACAACTTAGTGTTACAAAATAACTTTTAAGTAAATGAAAGGCACAGAGTTCCTAAAAGGATCAAATAAATTGGAAGGGTTTGTCCTAAATAATTCATAGTTTTCCTTTAGAAACACTTTTATTTCAAATGTCTTAAATTTTTTCTTACACAATATTGGGTATATTATTGCCTTTATACCTTGAATAGTTTTAAAATATATTCTCAAAATGAGAGTAGAAATATTCCTTTAATTTTTCCAAAACAAATCATGATGAAACTAAAGAAGTTTTTCTCTTTGTTGTGTTAAGTATATTTTGTTATTTATTATTAGGGAATAGCATTTATGTATATACATATGTTTATAAAATAAGGTAAAACATGTAAGATTAACACATGCTCATGTTACATAATGTATGAAAAATGGTTATATTATTTTATGCAAATAATCAGGGACCAGTAATTGTGTTACCACAGGGTGTGGTTCTTGGAGATAAGGAAAGCTCTATGAGTCTTGAATGTGTTACTTCTGATATGATATTTCTGAGGTTTTTTTCTCATGTGTGGTGAAACATTTACTTTATAGATCAAGCTTAGACTTCTGTACTCTCCACATTGCTATATTAATGTTCTTACTTTGTATCAAGTAAAATAAAAAGCTGTTATAAAACATAAGTCACATGACCTCTGATGGAAGTAAGAGACTTTTGAGAAAGTTTTCTTGTTAGCTTTGCAAAATGTTATTCATCAGTCATCTGTACTGTGTAGGGGCAGAAAGGGTGTGATATCTTTCCTCACCCATCATGAGTCACAGCTGCAACAAAAGATAAAAGAAAAACATAGCAAATTTACTTAATCATAGTGTTATGTGACACAAAACCTTCAGAAATGAAGACCCAAAGGCCCAAGAGAAAACTGTCACTTTTATGCTTAGTTTTGATGAAGAGTGGACAGCTGTGTAGAAATGTGATTGGACAAAAAGTGAACAATCTAATGGTAACAGACTGAGTGGGAAAAGCCAGCACCACCTGTTTGTTGAGATTCTTCTTGGCCTTTTTGCATGGCATTCCTTCCTCCCAGGTATGGGGCAGGACCTCTGAAATGAGGATCTTATTACCAACTATAACACATGGGTAGGTCAGAGAATTTCTTTATGGCCAGCTTTTTGACAGAAAGGTGAGAGACAGTTAAAGTAGGAATTCTAGTTTTTATGACTGGCTTTGGGGAAAGGGGTTTCTATCCTCACTTTTGGGAAGAGGAATTCTGGTTTCTATGACTAACTTCAGGGGAGAATAAGAAGTGAGAGACAGGAGGGCAGGATTAGATCAGAGACCTTGGTTCTGAGGCTGCTTCTGAGGTCTTCCAACGTCCTTTAGCTCAATGTACTCTGCATGCCAAAGCTCCTTAATCTGGGGTATCATTTTCTGAGCCCCAACAACTGCTATAATGTCAGGTTTTCTTGTTTTTGGTTCATGAATTAGTGTGGGTAAAATTTCAAGATAGTAACTCCTTTATTATAAGGTGTTTTTTTTTTCTTTTCCCCTTACAATGCATCACTCTTGTACAACATTATTTTATTAAAATATAGCATGACATCTAAAAACAGTGGCCATTTACTTATAAAAAGTATTTCCTCTGAATGGGATACACACTGTCAACTAAGATTATAACTGACTCATACTTTTAGCAGATGAGAGGGAATTCAGTTTTTAGCAATAAAGTTCTATGATGAGTTCCCTGAAAGCTGAACATGTGTGCCCTATTGTTGAAAAGCACAGAGACTAAAAGCCATTTTATTGACTTGAATGACAATGCATTTTACATAGAGGCTAAAAATGACTTCACTCTTTTGCAAGATGAAGAAACTGCACACTATCAATTAAAGTGCTGTGGGCATGGGTCTGATTGAACCTTGGGAAATCTGAGTGCCTGGAAAGATAAAACACACATACAAATGCTTAGCTGGGTTAAGTGAAGCGAAAAGTCTTGCTTGGTAGTTCAGGTGAAAAAAAAAATCTTTTAAAAGTAAGTAAGTGGGGAAAAAGAAGAGATTAGTAATAACAACCAAAACCAAACAAAAAAATCCTCAATAACAACAGTCATTTTCACCACAGGTCTTAGTAAACTACATCATTTAAAATTCCCCAATTATGCCCACATGTTGTTGTTTGGGAATTAGAAGTAAAAAAGCAGTGCCCTAGGTTTTATTGCTTCAGATGACCTGGCTCATCATGTGGTGATCTACCACCATGTTAAATGTATGTTAAGTCTTGTTACAAACTGACCCTTCGGAGCTCATTTAAGATGGTTTCTAACCCTGAAGTGTAAATGCACATGTTCACTTGTCCAAATTTATCTGTTCAGCTGAAATAAAAATATGGCATTTATAATGATTTTAAGTACATTTTACTACATTAACTCAGATACACACAAATATTCATTTAAAAGCAATTTTCTGTTTGACAAAACAAATATTTGCCTGAAAATAAGTAGGATTACACAAGTTTTATTTTCCTGCTTTTCAAATTTAATTTATTTATCTTTGAAAATGAGGATTAAATTGACTAGTTAAAACGTGAGAAAAAGATTAAACCAAGATACAGTCAAATGCTGCAAATGGATAGCCAGTAGTAAAATAATAATGCTTGTACATTCAAGGGATCCCTGAACTTTGATGTAATTTTTTTGGTGAAGGTAATGTAAATAACAATAAAGTGATCACACTGTAACACAAAAACATTAGGACAACTGGGTTTTTTTAATGGTAAAACTTTCCTGATTGTTTGGCATATACGGCTTACATGATAAATGACACATAGAGCACTCTGTTGTTTCATTATCTCATTATGGCCCATCAAGAATTATTGGCATCTAAAGCGGTGAAATTCCACAATTTTCAAAAGGCCTCTGGCCTAATGGGATCACTGAATTAAGCATAAGTAAAGTCAGTGTACTACAGACAGCAGGATCCATTTTAGAAATATGAGAAAGAACTCCATGGATGGATGGTATTCATTAATTCACTTACTCAATTTGCCATTTTACAAATTTTTCATTAATAAAGATTGATCACATTATAAGGCCCTATGATTCACCAGAAAAACTGGTATGTTTGTTTCCATGTGCTCTATTCTTAACTTACAAAAATTGTCATTGCTTATAAGTAATTTATTTGATTTACACAGGTAGGCATAAAATAATTCATACTGTATATCTTGCTAGTTCCCTAATATATATATATAGATGATATATATATGATAGTTAATGTATATATGATAGTTTCTAAATAAGATGCAGATTTTCAAACTATTAAATAAGTATATCTTAAGGCATTGATAAAATATTGATAAATTTCTAATTATTTTCCAGTATCTATTATGTACATGTAGTTATATCTGTAAGCAAAATAAAAACTAAAATGTGCCCTTTCTACATGCAACAGTATGTCATATTTGTTTAAGCTATTAAGAGCTTATGATGAGCAACAAGATTGTAAAGTAGACAGAAATGCTATAGTGTTGTTCAGTTTATAGAAAAAAAAGTGGAGTTTCAAGGGTTAAGAAACATATTCAAATTAGTTCAAATATATTTTTCAATTTTGTTATTTCCATTAGACTTTTTTTAACGTAGTTTCATTTTTCTATTTTTAAGTTTTGTGGGTACATAGTAATTGTATATATTTATGGATTACATGAGATATTTTGATGCAGGCTTGCAATATGTAATAATCACATCAGGGTAATGGGGTTATCCATCACCTCAAGTATTTATCTTTTGAGTTATAAACTATCCAATTTTACTCATTTTGTCATTTTAAAATGTACAATTACATTATTTTTTACTGTACTCACCCTTTTGTGCTAGCAAACACTAGCCTCTGATAACCATACTTCCCAGCTTCTGATAACCAGCCTTCTACTCTCTATCTCCATGTGTTCAGTTGTTTTAATTTTTAGCTTCCATAAATAAGTGAGAACATGTGAAGTCTGTCTTTCTGTGCCTGGCTTATTTCACTTAACACATGACCTCCAGTTTCATTCATGTTGTTGCAAGTGATAGGATCACATTCTTTTTTATGTCTAAATAGTATTCCATTGTGTATATGTACCACATTTCCTTTTCCATTCATATGTTGATGGAAGTTTAGGTTGCTTCCAAATCTTGGCTATTGTGAACAGTGCAGCAACAAACATGAGTAAGTCTTTAAATCATATTGATTTGACTTTTGTATATGGTAAGAGATAGGGGTCTAGTTTAATTCTTCTGCATATGGATATCCAGTTTTCCCAGCACCACTTGTTAAAGAGACTGTCCTTTCCCTAGTGTATATTCTTGGCACCCTTGTCAAAAATGAGTTCACTGTATGTGTGCAAATTTGTTTCTGGGTTCCCTGTTCTATTCCATTGGTCTATGTGTTTGTTTTTATGCCAGTACCATGCTGCTTTGGATACTTTAGCTCTGTAGTATAATTTGAAGTTGGGTGATGTGATTCCTCTGTTTTTGTTCTTTTTGCTTAGGATATTTATATCTAGTCTGGGTGTTTTGTGGTTCCATATAAATTTTAGGATTTTGTTTCTATTTCTGTTAAAAATTTCATTGGTATTTTGATAGGAATTGCATTAAATATGTAGGTTGCTGTGGATAATATGGAAAATTCAACAATATTGATTTTTTCAATCCACAGACATGGAAAGTCTTCCATTTTTTGTGTCCTCTTCAATTTTTGCATTGATATTTTATAGTTTTCATTGTAGAAATCTGTCACTTCTTGGTTAATTCCTAGATATTTTATGTAATTTGTAGCTGTTTTAAGTTGGATTAATTTTTGATATCTTGTTCAGATTGTTTGCTGTCTGCATGTAGAAATGCTCTCAATTTTTGTATGTTTATTTTATATCCAGTAACTACTGCATTTGTTTATCAGTTCTAATAGTTTCTTGGTGGAGACTTAACGGTTTTTTCAAACATAAGATCATATCATCTGCAAACAAGGATAATTTGACACCTTCCTTTCCAATTTGGATATCCTTTATTTCTTTCTCCCGTGTGATTGCCCTAGCTAGGACTTCTAGTACTATGTTGAAAAGCAGTGGTGACAGTAGGCATCCTTGTCATGTTCCAGATCTTAAAGGAAAGACTTTCAATTTTTCTCAATTTTCAGTATGAATCTATCTTGAGTCTATCATATATGTCTTCCATTATGTTGAGGTATGTTCCTTCTATACCCAATTTTTAAGGGTTTTTATCATGAAGGGATGTTGAATTTTATTAAATGCTTTTTCAGCATCACTTTAAATGATCATATTATTTTTGTCCTCCATTCTGTTAATATGTTGTATCACATTGATTGATTTGCATGATTGAACCATCCTTAAATTTTTGGGAAAAATTCCACTTGGTCATGGTGAATGATCTCTTTAATGTATTGCTGAATTCAGTTTTCTAGAACTTTTTTGTGGACTTTTTGCATCAACATTCATCAGGGATATTGGCCTGCAGTTTTCTGTTTTTGATGTGTCTTTGGTTTTGGTATCAGGGTAATACTGGTCTCATAAAATGATTTTGGAAGTATTCCTTACTCTTTTATTTTTTAAAATAATTTGAGTAGGATTGATATTAGTTCTTTAAATGTTTGGTAGAATTCAGCAGTGAAACCATTGGATCCCATACTATTCTTTACTGGGAGAATTTTGATTACAGTTTTAATCTTGTTACTTGTTATTGTTTTGTTCAGTTTTGGATTTCCTTCTGGTTTAATCTTGGTATGTTGTATGTGTCTAGGCATTTGTCAATGTTTTCTAAATTTTCCATGTATTAGCATGTAGTGTAATATGGTTTGCTTCTGTGTCCCCACCCAAATCTCGAATCAATTTGTAATTCCCTGTGTTGGGGGAGGGATCTGGTGGGAGATGATTGGATCATGGGGGTAGATTTCCCCCTTGCTGTTCTCATGATAGTAAGTTTTCATAATATCTGGTTGTTTAAAAGTGGGTAGCATTTCCCCTTTCACTCTCTCTTTGGTAGCTGTGTGAAGATGTGCTTGCTTCCACTTCATACTTCTGCTGTGATTATAAGTTTCTTGAGGCCTCATGCTTTTTGTACATGCTGCAGAACTGTGAATTAATTAAACCTCTTTCTTTATAAATTACCCAGACTTGGGTATTTCTTTATAGCAGGGTGAGAATGAGCTAACACAGAAAATTGGTACAAGAGAAGCAGGGCATTGCTACGAAGATACCTGAAAATGTGGAAGCAACTTTGGAAGTGGGTAACAGGCAGAGGTTGGAACAGTTTGGAGGGCTCAGAAGAACACAGGAAGATGTGGGAAAGTTTGGAACTTCTTAGAGACTTGTTGAATGGTTTTGACCAAAATTCTAATAGTGACATGGATGATGAAGTCCAGGCTGGGCAGGTCTGAGATGGAGATGAGGAACTTATCAGGAGCTAGAGTAAAAGTCACTCTTGGTATGCTTTAGCAAAAAGACCAGCAGCATTGTTCCTCTGTTCCTGAGATCTGTGGAACTTTGAACCTGAGAGAGGTGATTGAGGGTATCTGATAAAATAAATTTCTAAGAAGCAAAGCATTGAGGATGTAGCCTGGTTGCTTCGAAAAGCATACACTCATATGGATGAACAAAGATTATTTGAAATTGGAACTTACATTTAAAAGGGAAGCAGAGTGTAAAAGTTTGGAAAATTTGGAGTCTGACAATGTAGTAGAAATTTTAAAAAAGCCATTTTCCTCAGAGGAATTCAAGCCGACTGCAGAAATTTGCATAGATAAAGAAGAATAGAATGTTAATGTCAAAGACAATGGGGAAAATGTTTCCAAGGTATTTCAGAGACTTTTATGGCAGCTCCACACATCACAGGCCTGTAGGGCTAGGAGGGAAAATTTGTTTCATTGGCCAGGCCCAGGACCCCGCTGCTTTGTGCAGCCTCAGGACATGGTACCCTGCTTCCCAGCCACTCCTGCTCCAGCTGTAGCTTAAAAGGACAAAGGTATCACCTAGGCTGTGGCTTCAGCACGTGCAAGCCACAATCTTTGGCATCTTCCACATGGTGATGAGCCTGCAGGTATGCAGAAGGCAAGAGTTGAGGTTTGGGAGCCTCCACCCAGATTTCAGAGGATGTATGGAAATGCCTGAACGTCCAGGCAGAAGTCTGCTGCAGGGGCAGGGTCCTCATGGAGAACCTCTGCTAGGGCAGTGCAGAAGGAAAATGCGGGGTGGGAGCCCCTGCAGACAGTCCCCACTGGGGCACTGCCTAGTAGACCTGTGAGAAGAGGGTCATCATCCTCCAGTCCCCAGAACGGTAGACCCACTGACAGCTGGCACTATTCCCCTAGAAAAGCCATAGGCACTCAATGCCAGCCCCTGAAAGCAGCTGCAGGGGCTGTACCCTGCAGAGTCACAGGGATGGAGCTGCCCAAGCTCTTGGGAGCCCACCCCTTGCATCAGCATTCCCTGAATGTGAGACATAGGGTCAAAGGAGATTATTTTGAAGCTTTAAGATTTAATGACTCTCCTGCTGGGTTTTGGCCTTGCATGGGGCCTGTAGCCCCTTTGTTTTGGCAAATTTCTCCCTTTTAGAATGGAAGCATTCCATCTCGGCTAACACAGTGAAACCCCGTCTCTATTAAAAATACAAAAAATTACCCGGCCGTGGTAGTGGGCACCTGTAGTCCCAGCTACTCGGGAGGCTGAGGTAGGAGAATGGCTTGAACCTGGGAGGCAGAGCTTGCGGTGAGCCAAGATTGCACCACTGCACTCCAGCCTGGGTAACAGAGGGAGACTCTGTCTTAAAAAAAAAAAAAAAAAAAAAAAAAAAAAAAAAAGAATGGGAGCATTTACCCAATGTCTGTGCCCTCATTGTATCTTGGAAGTAACTAACTTATTTTTTATTTTATAGACTCATAGGCAGAAGGAACTTGTCTTGCCTCAGATGAGATTTTGGACGAGGAATTTTGAGTTAATGCTGAAAAGAGTTAAGACTTTGGGGGACCTTTCGGAAGGCATGATTGTGTTTTGAAATGTGAGAAGGACATGAGATTTGGGAAGGGCCAGGGACAGAAGGATGTGGTTTGGCTCTGTGTCCCCACCTGAATCTCATGTTGAATTGTAATTGCCAGTGTTGGGGGAGGGACCTGGTGGGAGTTGATTGGCTCATTGGGGTAGAATTCCTCCTTGCTGTTCTCATGATAATGAATGAGTTCTCATGGTATCTGATGGTTTAAAAGTGTCTGGCACTTTCTCCTTTGCTCTCTCTCTCGTGCTCCACAAGAGAGAGATGTGCTTGCTTCTCCTTCCCTTTCTGCCATGATTGTAAGTTTTCTGAGGCCTCCAAGCCATGCTTCCTGTACAGCCTGCGGAACTGTGAGTCAATTAAACCTCTTTTCTTAATAAATTACTCAGTCTCAGGTACTTCTCTATAACAGTGTGAGAATGAACTAATACATAGCTGCTCCTAATAGCCACTAATAATCCTTTAAATATCTGTGTTATCATTTTTAACACTTCTTTTTTTATCTCTGATGTTCTTTATTTGGGTCTTCTCTCTTTTTTCCTCACTTAGTCTGGCTAAAGGTTTGTCAATTTTGTTTAACTTTTCATAAAACTAAATTTTTGTTTCATTGATCCTTTTTATTTTCTTCATTTTAATTTTATTTCAACTCTGATTTTTACTTATTTTCTTTTAGTAATTTGCAATTTGGTTTGCTCTTTTTTGTAATTTACTTTTTATTTTTATTTTATCTTTCAATTTTTATATGTACATCATCAGTGTATGTATTCATGTGGAACATGAGTTGTTTTAATACAAACATGCAATGTGAAATAAGAACATCACAGAGAATGTGGTATTCATTTCCTCAAACATTTATCATTTGAGTTAGAAACAATCCAGTTACACTGTTTTAATGTACATTGCACATTAAAAATGTACAATTAAGATATTATTGACTATAATCACATTGTTGTGCTATCAAATAGTAGGTCTTATTCATTTTTTCTATTTTTTGTACCCATTAACAAACCCTATGTCACCCGTCCCCCCAAGTCTCCCACCATACTTGCCAGCTTCTGGTAACCATTCTTCTACTCTCCATGTTTATAAGATCAATTGTTTTGATTTTTATATCTCATGAATAAGTGAGAATTGTTTTTTTAGTTCTTTAAGATGCATTCTTAGGTTATTTATTTGAAGTTTTTCTTCTTTTTTGTTGTAGGCACTTACAGCTATAAAATTCCTTCTTAGTAATGCTTTCCTGTATCCCATAGCTTTTGATATGTTGTGCTTCTTTATCATTTGTTTCAAGAAATTTTTCAATTTTATTCTTAATTTCTTCATTGACCCACTGATAATTCAGGAGCATATTGTTTAATTTCAATGTATTTGTGTAGTATCCAAAATTCCTCTTATTTATTTCTAGTTTTATTCCATTGTGGTCAGAGAAGATGCTTGATATTATTTCAACTTTGTTGAATGTTTTAAGACTTGTTTTATGGTCTATGCTTGAAAATAATCCATGTGCTGAGGAAAATAATGTGTATTCTGCAGCTGTTAGATGAAAGTTCTGTAAATACCTATTAAGTCCATTTTTTCTATAGTGCAGATTAAGTCTCATGTTTCTTTGTTGATTTTCTACCACAAAGACCTGTCTGGTGCTAAAAGTGGAGGGTGAAGTCTCCAACTACTATTGTACTGGGGCCTATTTCTCTCTCTAGCTCTAACAATATTTTCTTTATATATCTGGGTGCTCCAGTGTAAGTGGTATATATTTTTTAAATTGTTATGCTCCCTTGCTGAATTGACTTCTTTATCATTGTATAGTAAACTTCTTTGTCTCTTACAGTTTTTCTCTTGAAATCTATTATGTCTGATGTAAGTATAGCTGTTCCTGCTTTTCTTTAGTTTCCATTGGCATTGACAATTGAAACAAATTCTGTCCATTTATTGTCAGTCTACATGTATCTTTATAGGTGAAGTGTGTTTCTTACAGGCAATAGATCACGTAGTCTTATTTTTGATCCATTCAACCACTTTATATCTTTTGATTGGAGAGTTTAGTCCATTTACCTTCAATGTTATTATTGACAAATGAGGACTTACTCCTGTCATTTTGTGATTTGTTTTCTTATTGTTTTATGGTCTCTTCTTCCTACTTTTCTTACTTCCTGTCTTCCTTTTATTGAAAGTGATTTTTTTCCAGTAGTATTTAATAATATATAATGGAGCTCTAATACATCTGGCAGCAGATTTTTCAGTGGAAACCTTTCAGGTCAGGAGAGAGTGGCATGACATATTTAAGTGGCGTTACATAATTATTTTCTTGCTTTTCATTTTTTGTGCATCCATTGTGTGTTTTTGGTTTGAGGTTACCATGAGTCTTGCAAATACTATCTTATAACCCATTATTTTAACCTGATAATAACTTCACACTGTTTGCATAAACAAACAAGCCAAAAGAAAACTAATAAAAGCTCTATACCTACATTTTGTACCCCTACTTTTAAACTTTTTGTTGTTTCTGTTTATATCTTACTGTTCTGACAGTGTCTTGAAAAGTTGTTGTAGTTATTATTTTTGATTGGTTCATCTTTTAGTCTTTCTACTTAGAATTAGAGTAGTTTACACACCACAGTTACAGTGTTATAATATCCAGTGTTTTTCTGTGTACTTGCTATTTCCAGTGAGTTTTGTACCTTCATGTGATTTTTGATTGCTCATTAACATTTCTTTCTTTCTCCTTGAAGTATTCCTTTTAGCATTTCCTGTAGGACAGGTGTGCTGTTGATAAAGTCTCTGAACTTTTGTTTGTTTGAGAAATTCTTTTTATTCTCCTTCATTCTTGAAGTATATTTTAACTGGATGTACTATTTCTGGGTAATTTTCTTTTTCTTTTTTTTTTCTTTTTTGAGAGAGAGTTTCTCTGTCTTCAGTACTTAAATATGTCATGCCACTGTCTCCTGTCCTGTAAAGTTTCCACTGAAAAATCTGCTGCCAGATATATTGGAGCTCCATTGTAGACTATTTGTTTCTTTTCTCTTGCTACTTTTAGGATTCTTTATTTATCGTTGATTTTGAGGAGTCTAATTATTTAATACCTTGAGGTAGCCTTTTTTGGGTTAAATCTACTTGGTGTTCTATAATCTTCTTGTATTTGAATGTTGATATCTTGCTGTAGATTTGGGAAGTTCTCTCATATTATCCATTTGAATAAACTTTTTATTTCTCTCTCTCTCTCTCTACCTCCTCTTTGAGGCCAAGAACTCTTACATTTGCCTGTTTTAGGCTAGTTCCTAGATCTTATGGGTGTGCTTCATTCTTTTTTGTTCCTTTTTCTTTGGTCTCCTCTTACTGTGTATGTTCAAATAGCCTATCTTCAAGCTCACTAATTCTTTTGTCTGCTTGATCAATTCTGCTATTAAGAGACTGATGTATTTTTCAGTATGTTTATTATGTTTTTCAACTCCTGAATTTCTGCTTGATTCTTTTAAATTATTTCAATCTCTTTGTTAAATTTATGTAATAGAATTCTGATTTCCTTTTCTGTGTTCCTTGAGTTTCTTTGAATTTCCTCAACACAGCTATTTTGAATTCTTCATCTACAAGGTCACATATATTGGCTCCTCCAGCATTGATCCTTGGTGCTTTATTTAGTTCATTTGGTAGGTTATGTTTCCTGGATGGTTTGGATGTTTGTGCATGTTTGTCAGTGTCTGGGCATTGAGGAATTAGGTATTTATTGTAATTTTTGGATTTTGGGTGTGTTTGTTGCCATCTTTCTTGGGAAGTCTTTCCAGGTATTTGAAATGACTTGAGTGTTGTGATTTAAGCCATACCTGCATTAGGGGGCACTCCAGGCCCAGTAATGCTGAGGTTCTTGCAGACTCATAGAGGTACCACCTTGGTGGCCTTGGATAAGATCTGGAGGAATTCCCTGGATTCCCAGGTAGAGACTATTGTTCCCCTCCCTTACTTTCTCCCCAACAAATAGATTCTTTCTGCACGCTGAGCTGCCTGGAGGTGGTTGGGAAGTGACACAAACACCCCTATGGCTACCATCACTGGGACTGCGTTGGGTCAGACTTAAAGCCAGCACAGCACTGGATCTCGCTCAAGGCCTGCTGTAACCACTACCTGGCTACTGTCTATGTTCACTTAAGGCCTCAGGACTCTACAATCAGCAGGTAGTGAAGCCAGCCAGGTTTATCTCTTTCTCTTCAAGGTGACAAATTCCTCACAGGCCCAGATTGTTCCATAGATGTCATCTGGGAGCCAGTGACTGAAGTCAAAATCTTTAGAAATCTAGCTGGTGTTCTCTTCTACTGTGGCTGAGGTGACACTCCAACCACGAGAAGCAGTCCTTCCTACTCCTCCTTCCCTCTTTCCACAGACAGAGGAACCTCACCCCATTGCCACCATCACCGCAGCACCATGGATAGTACTGCCAGGCTACTGCCGATATTCCTTTAAGGCTCAAGGCCCCTTCAGTCAGTTTGCAGTGAAAACTGCCAGGCCTGGGATTCACTCTTCAAAACAGTAAGCTCCCATCTGGCTCAGGTAGGAGCCAGAAATGTGGTCCAAGGACCCATGCTTGGAAGCAGGAACCTCATGTGCTTTCTTGGTGCTCTACCTCCTGTGGCTTGGCTGGTACCTAAAGTGAAAGACAAAGTCCCCTTTACTTTTCCCTCTGTTTTTCTCAAGTAGAAGGAGTCTCTCATTTTAGCCAACACAGCTGGGAATGTGCTGGGTCTCACCTGAAGCTGGCATGTCTCGGAGTCTCACCCAAGGCCTGTGGCATACTACCTAGGTATCATTATTTATTCAGGGGTCAAGGAGTCTTTACTCAGCAGGTGATGGGTCCTGCCTGGACTGCATCCTTCCTTTCAAGACAGTGGGCTCCCTTCTGGCCCAGGGTGTGTCTTGAAATGTCATCTGGAGCTAGGGCCTGAAATGGAGGCCTCATAACTCTGACCAGTGCCCTATTGTGCAGTGTCTGAGCCAGTATCCAAGATCCAAGATAAAATTCTCTTTAGTCTCCCCTCTCCTCTCCTCAAGCAGAAGGAAGAGGTCCATTTTGGAGCCATGAGCTGCACAGCCTCTGGTTAAGGGGGACAATGCCACAAGCACTTCTTAGCTGCACTGGCTATTGTCTCAGAAGGTCATGTGGCCCCAGTATCTACTAGCTCTGGGAGCAGCTCAGTACTAGGACTTGCCTAGGAGTTACAGTCTTTGTGTCTATGACTGCCTTTCAAGTTTAGTTAGAGCCCCAGAGCACTTTAGCCCACAGGAGCAAGACTTGCCAGAGCTCAAGTTCTGACCACTGCAGTTGGCGATTTCCCCTTGGCTTATCTAAATGTTCTCTCTGTGGGTGAACATCAGCTGAGTTTAGCCTGGTTTTGCTTTCTGTTGTGACAAGGCAGCACTGAGTTCAATGCAAAGTCTCACAGTTGCTGTGCTCTCCCTCTTTCAAGTGCACAGATTCTCTTTCCATGCCATGTGGCTTCTGCTAGAGGATGGGGGAAGAGTGGTGTCAGCGATTTACAACTTTCCTTCCTATCTTCTTCAATACCTCTTTCATCAATATTAAGTTAAAACCAGTTATTGTGAGTGCTCATCTGACTTGGTTCTTGTGAAGGTGATTGCTTTGGTATAGACAATTGTTAAATTTGGTGTTCCTGTGGGGAGAACTATTGATAGAGTCTTTTTTTTTTTTTTTTTTTTTTGGCCATCTTGCTCCACCCCCTAGTTTCTAACTTTCTGATGATACTTCCTGTCTTTTCATTCATTCAAGCACATTTTTCTTTGTCTCATTAGCATTGTTATAATGATTGCATGAAAGTCCTTGTTTGCCAGTTCCAACATGTGGATCATATCAAGATAGGCCTACACTATTTTTTTTTCTTTTGAAAATAGTACACATTTTTCTAGCTCATTGTTTATAGAATAACAGTGCTATATTGTATTATATTCTGGTCATTGTAAGTAATCTTATACTGTGCAGACTCTAGTTTGTTATCTTTCTCTGAATAACAGAGGTTATTCAGAGGAAAATAGCAGAAGTTGCTATCATTTTATTGAGCATTTAACTTGATTGGATTAAAGCTGTAAACTATGCTTTGTGCAGTGGCTCAAAACTCCATTCAATTCATTATATCCATTAGCTGTTCTTTTTGCAGTCTGTCCCCAACATGTGTAGTTCAGGAATCACACAGGGATATAGGCAAACTCTGTACACAGAATTGGATTCCCCCTCTCAAATTTCAGAGGCTGTGGATTCCTCAAAGTATTTTCTGATTCTTTAGAGCAAGAAAAGGATGTGGGTTTTTACATCAATGGTTGCAGTTAAAGAGAGTTTAGTGTCAAAAAGTACTCATGGGCTGGGCATGATGGCTCACACCTGTTATCCTACCACTTTGGGAGGCTGAGATGGGAGGATCACTTGAGACCAGGAGTTCAAAATGAGTCTGGGCAATGTAGTGACACCCTATCTCTACAAGAAATAATAATTAGCTGGGTGTGGTGGTGTGTGCCTGTGGCCCCAGCTACTCCAGAGGCTGAGGTGAAAGGATTGCTTGAGCCCAGAAGGATGAGTCTGGATGAGACTGCAGTGAGCCATGATCAACCCAGTATAACAAAGCTGACAAATTTATTTTGTTACAACAAAAGGATACAATATAGAAAATGCATTAAGGTAAGGATATGCATTATAGCTAAAGTCTGCCACAACAGCAAAGGGTCCAAATTCTGGAGACATCAGATGGGAATTACAATTATCCTCTGTAGAGACAGAAAGGGGTGATCCTTTTCCTCCCTAACATAAGGGTAATCACTGACACCACTATGACAAAGAACAGATTACAAGAGAAAAGCATAACAATCTCCTTTACCTGCATGAGCATGGAAGCCATACAAAAAAATATAAAAACTTGAATAAAGGCCAGGTGGTTGAAGCTTAAATACTTTTTTCTTAGAGAGAGAGAAGTGATAGAGGAGCTGTAAATGAGTACAGCCACCCCTAAGACAAGAAAACAGTTTGTAAATGATTCTCTTTGGAATTTGAATGAGCCCCAGGGGCAGACATTATTTTGTGAAAAAGTCTATCCAGGTGTGGTTACATTGCTCAATCTTCTTTTCTGTTCAGGGAGGGGATGGAAGGCAATTGGTGAGTCAAGCCTTAAGGTAGAAAAATAACTTCAGAGTAAAGTTTTTTCTAGCACCTGCTGCCCTTCAAGGGCCTTCAATTTAAGATAATCCACATTCCAAAGTCCCATATTAGGGGGAAAATTCTCCAGGATTCCTTACCTCCCTCTGTAACAATACAAATTCCCTGTAAGATCAAGACCCACCAATATAGGGTGTTTATTACCTAACACAAAACACCTTAGAAGCAGGGCCCAAAATGAAATCTCAGCTGGGGTTTTTATACCCTGCTGGTCACTTAGGAATATTATGGTACAATGGCAAGGCACATATTATCAGGGACAATCACCATGAAAGACGAAATCTAATCTGATACATTAATAATTTACTTAATTTTATCCAGAACTGTGAAATAGAAAATAAAATAACCAAAATACCAAATTACTATGTTTCATAGTGTCTGTATATATTATCAAAATGAAGTCTTTTGCAAGTCCATCTTACATATTAATTTGTTAATATTTTTTCAATATTTGATATAAGACATTGTGATGCATAAGGAAATTGAAAACTACTATCCTAAAATATATGTTACTACATATTGATTAAGAAAAAGTGATTTTATAGAAGATCAATGTGGTGTTTTTGAGATATATAGTATTGCAAGTACAGCATAGCAGAGACCTTTACTTGTAATCATTCATTGTAATCTTCCATTGGTGGAAAAAAAAAACAATGTTAGTTAACATTTTTTATAATGTGAGTATAGTTCCATAACAAATTAATTGCCATCATAATTGTCTTTTTAAAATTATGTATTATAACTCTGTCTCAATAAACATACCATATGCATTATCAATGACAGATAAACCATGCTTAATGACTAAAAGTCACAGGACCCAATATATGGTGCCTCCAAATCTATAGCTAATTGAAGGAATATAATACAATATAGCAATGAATTAAAATAAGAACATGAATCATAGTCAAAGGCAGTCTTACAGCAAGGGGATCAGAGAAGCCAAGTTCAGGTTTCTAGTCTCCTCTGTCTGTAAGGGCTGTGGCAAGACACACTTTCTCATATAAGGACTGACCAAAGTATATAGAACACTTCAGAACCAGGGAGCCCAATATGGAGTTTCAGCCAGAGTCCTTTATATTATTTTGTCATATACATAATCCTACCACAAATTAGTTTTAATGGCAGAGTCTCTGGGAGAATCCCATGGAGAGCACATGCAAATGTCACTATTTTCAATAAATAATGCTAAAAGCTATTACAGACTGTATCTAAATGACTAACTAACCCATGTGGGTCTGTCTCTGAAGTTACAATGTCCCTCCAAAATCTTGCTGCTTTTGTTCACTTTTCAGAGCTTTTTCAAGTAGTTATATTTTATGCAGATTATATGCTTGTTATCAGAAGAAGGAAGGCCAGTTTATTTAGAATTTTGTCACACTGCAAGTAGAATTCCAATTTGTTCAAACTTCCCAGCAAAACTGTAAATGGTGCCTTGCTTCTGTAATTTAATGCAAATTTTTAAAACTACTATTTTCTAATCTAATTGGTTGTTAAATATTGTGGAGCAAGATTTTATTTTTCTACATTGATAAGTAGAAATTTTTAAAATTAAGTCTCCAACTGTTCCCAGACTAAACCTAGGGTCAGGCTGCTTATTCTCACGGCCCAATAATAAAATGCAGATGAACAGGGAAATAAGAGAGTTTATTTCCATAAACAGGTACAGGGAGAAGGCTGGGAAAACATCACTAGACCAACTCAAAATTACAAAGTTTTCCAGAGTTTATATACCTTCTATGTTATATGTTGATGTGTAAGTGTGCATTCATCTAAAGATATAAGTGATTAACTTCTTCTGGTCTATAAGATCTGAGTCCTGAAGACTTTCTTGTGGAGACTCAGTAAATTTACTTAATCTAGATGGGCTCAGGTGCTAGGGGTGATTACCCTTATCTTGTCTCCTGCTAAATCATGGAGGTTTGGGGAGTTCCTTCAGACCCCCAGTAAGACTTGTTTAATCCTAAGCAGGTCCTGTTAAGAATTCCTTCATTATCTTGTAATGCTTTAAGGCCCAGGAAAAGCCTAGGCAAAACTCTTGGTGGGCTTTTGTTATATTCAGGCTTTGTATGAGGGCTGTGGCTCTATTAGCTTTTAATATTTAACTTAACCACTCAGTCAGTGCTGAAACAGTTGTCATTGGAGGCCAGCCTGTTCAGCTGTTACTGAGACTTCGCCTGCCATATAACCATATCATATTTCAAACTGCTTAATTTTTGTACTCATCTAAAATGAAATATGAAGAAATACTAGCTGAAATACTATGGCAGAAATACTGTTACAAGACACTAATTTGCATAATTAAACAACTTATGTATCAAAAATCAGTTGATTACATAGTAATGTTACAGAGTAAAAGGGGCTTGCTGCCTGAAGTGCTTGAAGCCAATACTATGACACTGGGTTTTTGAGGAATTAAAAAGTTTTCATTGTAGGTCAACCATCAAAGAGACAGGAGCCCAACTGAAATCTGTCTCCCTGTGCTGGCATTAAGGCAGTAATTTCATTAGAAAAAGTTTAGGGGGTGACTGGTGGTATTAGTAGGTGATTGATGGAAGAAAAGGGGATGTCTCAAAAGTCCTCAGGCATGCATAGTTATCTCTTTGTTATCTCATGGATCACAGGTGCAATTTGGGGGTCCGTGAATATAAAACAGGCAGTGGAAATTCACACTGTGATGTCAGCAAGCTTGTTCTGTGCAAACTCCAGTTGGCCATATTGGTTCCAGTGGATTTTAGCCAGTTTTGTTATCTTACAAGTGAAGGGAATTTCAGCATTTTAGCAAGTTTTTTCTTTTCTTACCTGCTGTCCTGCAAACTCAAACATTTCTGTTAGTCATTACTTTCTTTAACTCTTTGGGAACAGTTTCAATAACAACCACTCTTTTGATGAAGCCACAGGAGGAAATGTCCCAAGCAATTCCTATATATTGTTAATATGGTTTGGCTGTGTCCCCATCTAAATCTCATCTTGAATTGTAGCTCTCATAATACCCACATGTTGTGGGAGATACCCAGTGAGAGATCATTGAATCATGGGGGTGGGTTTTCTCATGCTGTTCTCACGATAACAGTAATTATCACAAGACCTGATGGTTTTATAAAGGGCAGTTCCCCTGCACGTGTCTTCTTGCTTGCTGCCATGTAAAATATACTTTTGCTCTTCCGTTACTTTCCACCATGATTATGAGGCCTCCCCAGCCATGTGGAACTGTGAGTCCATGAAACTTCTTTTTCTTTATAAATTACCCAGTCTTGTGTATTTCTTCATAGCAGTATAAAAATGGACTAACACAAATGTCCTATTGAATCCTCAAATATTCTATGAAAATATATCTTTATTATTCATCTTTTATAGACAAGAAAACCAAAGTAATATAGGTTAAGTAACTTTTCTGATAACTATCCTCTGCCATAGAGCAGATCAGCAAATGGATCCCAAAGATTGGGAATTGATTACTGTTGGGACTCAGATCATGATACTAAAATGTATGGCACTTTGGCATGCAGAGTACTTTGAACTGAAGGGTATTGAAAGTCCTCAGGAGCAAGAAATTCTCTCTGAAATTCTTCACCTCGACTTTTGTCTTTCCCCATTTTGCACCCTAAAGCTGGTCACAGAAATGGGCATACCTCTTTCCCAAGATGGACCCTAGAAACTAGAATTCTATTTCCTCATAGCCTAAAAACTAAATTATGTAAAGTCTGAAAACATAAAACCTAACAAGTTTACTGTCTGACTTACATCCTCTAAAAGGCCATGGAGCCTCATTCTGGAAGGGACCTGCCCCATATCCAGGATAAGGGGTGATAGTAGTGGAATGCTACAGAGGCCAGGAAGAATCTGAACAAACAGGCCTTAATAACTTTCCACCAATTTATTGCCATTAGATCATTCCCTTCATGTTCAATCCCATTTCTACATGGCTGTCCATTTTTCATTGAGTCTCAGTGTAAAAATACAGTTTTCCCGGGGTTTGGGGGTTTTCATTTATGAAAGCTCCCATATCTCATAAAACTTTGTTGAATAAATATATTATATTTTTCTCTTGTTAATCTGTCTTTTTTTATAAGCGTGTCAGCCATAGATGACCTTGAGATGGGTAAGGAAGTAGTATCAGACCTTTTCACCCCTACACTACAGGAGAAAACAATTATTATCTTCTGCAATTAGCATTTCTCTTTACTAACAAATCATGATAGGAAGAAATGTCCATTTCCCACTGAGGACATTTCAAAGTATTTATGTTCACAGTAATGTTACGGAAGGTAAATACTAAGCTGGCAACAACACTTAACAACCATGGGTAATGGGAGACAGGCAGAAGTACAGTATATAATTCCTACAACATACAGTTGACTGGATGCTACATATTAAAGGACAAAGACAAAATGGGATGAGAAAAACAAAGAAGGTGAGTCAGCAAGGTAGCTGTTTCCCTTTTAATATGTCAAAAACAAGTTATTCTTCTTAGATTAAGTACAAAGATTGTTGTCACTCCTACCCATGGATTTTTTCATTGGGAAGAAATTAAATCTGAGTAATTTTAACAAAACTTCTTTCTTACAACTTGATTGCTACCAAAACTTGAGAAACAAGAAAGTGTTCTGGACCTCACAATCTATACAGAAATTAGAAGTTGAATAAAACATAGAAAATTACACATGAAATTATAATAAATAGTAGAGTTTATTCACTAAAATGTGATTTTGATGGTTAATGACATAAGAAATAGTTATGCAATTATTAAAATTCAATCTTTCAATATAGAGTATACCAATATGATATATTAAAAGGCATAGCAATAAGATATTATAAATACTAAAGTCACTCAGAAGGACCAGAATGATCCCCCTTCCTATAGTGACCTAGTGAGATAACTTCAATATGCTGTCATTGCCCAAAAGGTTATTATTTAACCCAGCATTTTGGGCAATATGCTGTCATTGCCCAAAAGGTTATTATTAATATGTATGTAAATTAGGGAGCTATTGTAGAATAAGCATTGTTATATTTAATCATTGAGACTCACATTTGAAGTCCTTGTATCCTGCATAATTGTTTTGTAAACCCCCAGCAGCCTTTTAAAGATGATTAAAGGAGAACTCCAAGTTACAATTGGCAATTAAATAGTTACTTCAGGATGCCCATAGTCTGCCTTCTTAAGGAATGAGATATTTTCATTTCAACCTTTCAAGGAAAGCCTAGAAAACTAAGAATTTTTCTCTAAGAAATGGAATTCTCATTATTTTTAACATATACCAAAGATGTAAAAGGATCAATTTTCCTCTTATATAACAAGTGTTATCATTCTTAGACCTATCATTATAGAGAAAAATAGTGGAAAAATTAAATTGGGATTAAAAAAGTCTTTTACTAATATTTCCATGCTAAAAGTACGGCTTTTCTAATCTCGGGTCCTTAATAAAAAGGAAACTAAACTGAAATTTATTATGTATAAAAATTAGAAAATTTTAGACAATTGGGCAATTGTGTGATGTCTTGAAACAAGTTATACAAATGACACTGCACATAAGAATCACAAAAGTGAAAGTCTTGAAAATTATTGGCTATAACCACTTTATATCCCTTCTTCCTCTTCAATATTATAGAACAAATTTATAAAACATTTAGAAGTTAAAAGTCTTTGGTGATTCAGACAAGCCAAGAAAATAGAATTTTAGTAATATATGTTTGTTTTCATGCGCTAATGAAGATATACTCAAGACTGGGTAATTTATAAAGGAAAGAGGTTTAATTGACTCATAGTTCTACATGGTTGGGAGGCCTCACAATCATGGCAGAAGGCAAGAAGGAGCAAAGCCACGTCTCACATGTCAGTAGGCAAAGAGGGAATAAGAGCCAAGTAAAAAAGGGAAATCCCTTATAAAACCATCAGATCTCATGAGACTTATTCACTACCATGAGAACAGTATGGGGAAAACTGCTCCGTGCTTCAATTATCTCCCACCAGGTCTCTCTCACAACATGTGGGAATTATGGGAGCTACAACCAAGTGAGATTTGGGTAGGGACATGGCCAAACTATATCAGTAATTATAGGGACATTTATTTAAAAACATTAAAAGGAAATGTATTTTAAAACTACACAAACTATTTTGTAGTCTCAGTAATGTTCAAAAATTGTTGTGAATAAATGAGAATTATTCACTGTAACTGAACAATTAGATTTTTTCATCTAATATTTTCTACTGTATCTTACCTTGTTTTCACTTCATGGTAATTTGAAAAAAAAACTGAACACGATTCTCTCTACTCAGAGAATATTGTGATATTAACACTCTCTGCTAGAATTTATTTAGTTCCCTAAATGTAGATTAGTTTGCAAAACCATTATTTTTGTTAAAAGTATAAGCCACCCAGTTTTTTATATCTTTAAAAAAACAGTATACCTTATAAATGAAATTAGAACCCCCAAAGATATTTTGCCTAAGTATATTAATTTTTCTTTAAGGAATGAGTCTAAGATTGACAAGTGCTGTGGATGATGTTTTTGGTTAGAAAACAATGCATTCTTGATGCTTTATTTTCCTTAAGAGTCAATGATACATATTGTCATAAGCTGTGAAACTGCTCAATAGTCAAGAAAGATCTTCTATGATAATGATTAATTTACACCTCTGCATGTAGAATAGGCAGGAAGCTACTTGGTAAATTTTACATTTAGTACAGCAAAATTTTATGACTCCAACTTGATAAGTGTCTAAAATAAATGTTTTCAGATATGTGTTTATCTGTTTTTAATATCAAAATGTAGCTTGTTGAAACAATTCAGACCAATTAATTTACCATTTATTCTACCTTCTCAATTGAGTCCACTTAATATTTAACTTGTTCTTAGTTCATTAGAGGTATCATTACACACGCTAGTTTGTTTTTCTTTAGTTAAGAAAATAGTGATATCAAGGGATCTCAAAAAACATTCTATACCCTAAATGGCCGTAATCGAGTATTCTAAAAAATTTATTATGTGGTAGTGAATACAAATATGTTTACTGATTATTAATATGCAAGACAGTAAAATAAGTTCAGAGGGAATTAGAAAATAAGAAAGACATACTGCCCTTAATAAACTTATGTAGTGTTAAAGTATATAAGATTTCAACTTAGGCAGAAAACAATACACACAAAAAAATTCAAAAAAGTGTAAATAAATAATATCTACAATGGAGAAGGTGAAAAGAGTTAAGCTGAAGTACAGAAAGGAAAGAAAACACAAAAACATAGTTTGAAGGCATCAAAACAATACAATTGGATGGGTTGCCAGGTAAAAAAATGTAGAGAGGACATTATCAAGATAGTTGGGTAGAGGCACCTGACATTTTCCTCCTCCACAAAGCAGGACCAAAATGCAGTAGATAAGTAAATATTAAATAGAACATCTAAGATAGAACACTGGAATTCTGTAGGGAAGTGACAGGGAACTTCTGAGGCACAAAGGAGAAGGAAGTGAATAAGGTACTGGTCCAGCCAGGATTAGCTGTGAGCCAGGAGGAACTCCCTAACACAGAGAAAATGTAAGAGACCCCCAGTAGTCTGTTTCCAACATGGGCACCTGTAATCCTACCGACAGGAGAGACCTTTGGCAATTACAGGCTTTGATCCTAGTGTACAGAGCTGCCTGGAGTTCATGTGGCTAAAATGATCCAGAGAGGAAATTCACACTGGGTCCTACTAACATGCAGCATGGCATCATTTTGAGATTCCAGCCCCCAGTAGATCATATACTGTTCTGGGGCTCAAGAGCCCTATGATCTCCACAACCTAGAGCTCTGCTGATATTCTCCATGTCCACCCCCAGGGCTGCAGCATCATGACATGAGCTGGACCCAGTGGCATGACTGGGTCCCCAGAACTCTAGCTCATGCAATGTCCTACACCAGGGGAAAAGGAGGTACATCATACCAGAGAGACTTCCCCAAGGAGAAAGGGAGCTGAAACACATTTTCTCCAGGGCTTCAAAGTCATCTGCCCAGGGACACTTCCACTGACAGCAGCCCTGCCACCACCAGACCACCATAAACTGCCTGGGAGTGTGAGGACTGAAATGGCTGATGTCTCAATCTCCAACAAAGCCTTGCTGCAACCTCCACTGACAACTGCAGCCTAAACCACTGCAGAACACACAGATATCACTGACTTTGATTATAGATGAAGAAATCATGTGAAGACTACACTATGGTGCCCATCCAGAATCAAAGCTGAGGGATCCTGCTTAGCCAACACTATAAATACACCTATACAACACTACAAATACACCTAATTTTTTTTTAAAATTCTATAAAATCCAATCCATAAAGTCGAAAAATTGACTGTTAAACTAGATTTGCAGATATCAACATAAGGACACAAGAAACATGAAAAAGCAAAGAAACCTTACACCTCTAAAGGAATGTAATAATTTTTCAGTAACAAATCTCAGAGTAAAAGAAATTTGTGAAATGTCTGAAAAAGAATGCATAAATAATAATTTTAAGAAAACTCAGCAATATACAAGAGAACACAGATAAGTAATACAAATAAATTAAGAAGCAAAACAAAACAATGTATGATTCTGATGAGAAACTCAAGAAAGAGATAGATACTGCAAAAAAAGAACCAAACAAATTCTGGAACTAAATAATTCAATGAATGAAATACAATAATATAATCAAAAACTTCAGTAGTAGACTAGATCAAGTAGATGAAAATAATTTCTTAACTTAAAGATAGGACTTTTGAAATAACTCAGTCAGGAAAAAATAAATAAAGAATATATATAAAAGAATGAAAAAAGTGTACATGATATATGCGGCACCATAGAGTGAACACATATTTTAATATTTGGAATCCCAGAAGGAAACTAAATGGGCAAAGGCATAAAAAGCTAATGAAAAAGTTGCTGAAAACTTCCCAAGCATTTTGAGAGATATAAACATCCAGATACAGGAAGATAGAACATCCCAAAATAGATTTAATAAAAAAAAAAAAAAGGTTTTCTCCAAGGCACATACATTATAGTCAAATGGTTAAAAGTCAATGACAAAGAGAAAATTCTCAAAACATCAATAGAAAAGCATCAAGTCACATGTAAAGGAATTCCCATCAGACTAACAGCAGACTTCTCAGCAGAAACCTTATGAACCAGAAGAAAATGAAATGATATATTCGAAGTGCCAAAACAAACAAACAAAAAATACAAAACAAAAAATAGAATACAATACCCAGCAAAACTACCCTTCAGAAATGAAGGAGAAATAGTCTTACCCAGACAAGTAAACTGCAGGAATTGATCACCACTAGACCAGTCCTGAAGAATATTTTCTACAAAAGTATATAACTTAATAGTAGATCAGATACACAAATGAGAAAGAAGAAGGAATTAAATGCAATCACTATCAAAAAGCCCCACCAAATTATAAAAGTAAATAATAAAATAATAAATATATAAAATAATCAGAAAACTGTTAACAAAATGACAGGAGTGTCTTCTCACCTAACATTAATCATCTTTAATGTAAATAATTAAAATTCCCAAATAAATATATATGAAATGGCTGAATGGACAAAAGAAAAAAAAGACCCCACTATATGTGCCTAATAGAAACTGCCTATAAAGACACATAAGGACTGAAAGTGAAGGAATAAAAAAAAATTCGAAGTAAATAAACCAAAAGCATGTCAGAGTATCTATACTTAGTTAAGATAGGTTTTAAGGCAGTAAACATAGAAAGAGGCAAAGAAGGTCATTACATAATGATAAAAAAATTGATCTAGCAAAAGTGTATGACAATTCTAAATATATATCCACCTAACTACGTGAAGAAAATGTATCAGAGCTAAAGAGAGAGTGATCCCAATACAATAATAGTTGTGGAACCCAATACCCAACTTTTAGCTGTGGACAGATCATCTCTAGACAGAAAATTAATAAAGAAACATTAGACTTAATCTTCATTATAGACCAAAAGGACCTAACAGGTATTTACAGAACATTTCATCAAACAGCTGCAGATAACACATTCTTTTCATCAGCACATGAAACATTGTCTAGGATAAACCATATGTTAGGCTACCAAAAAAGTCTCAACAAATTTTTAAAATTCAAAATCATAACAATTATCGTCTCAGACGAGAATGGAAACAAAACTAGTTATCAATAACAAGAGGAACTTTGGAAATGATACAAATACATGAAAATTAAACAACATGCCTCAGAATAACCATTGGGTATATAAAGAAATTAAGAAAATTTTATTTTATTTTATTTATTTTTTTAATTTT